>NC_000006.12:124464729-124767759 GCF_000001405.40 Homo sapiens | reverse complement strand
AACCACACCCTTACTGGCTTCAGAGCATGGATGCAGGACCACCAGAGTGTTGAAAGGAGAGAACAACAGTGAAAGATATCAAGATCTGCCTATAAAATTTTCTCAAATCCTTGTGTGACTCCTCAACTGCATACGTGCTTATGAGGTCCCAAAATGTCCAGGGAGAAAAAAAATAGAGCTGAAGGCTATAAAGAGCTGAGTAGATATTTTAACTGAAGAGATAAGAAAATTTGGAGTTTAAGACCTGCCAAGCTAAAAAAGCTTGGTAAATACTCAGACTTCCCCATCTTAAGAGTAAAGGTAATGGCCTAGGACTAAGTGATTTCCTCAGGATTAGGAGGCAAACCACAATAGTCCCACTTTCATAAAGCAGAAAACCAAACCTCTACAAATTTATGGTTACCTGTCAGTCATTTAAAAGTCTTTGGTGGAAAATAACTCAACAACTTTCAGGGAAAATTAATAAAATCCCAAGATTTCACAAAATATTATTTATAGTATCTAGTATAAATCAGAAATTACTTAAGCATAGGATGAAACAGAAAAGCTAAGAAAGAGAAAAATAGGGCCGGGCGCGGTGGCTCATGCCTGTAATCCCAGCACTTTGGGAGGCCAAGGTGGGCAGATCACGAGGTCAGGAGTTTGAAACCAGCCTGGCCGACATGGTGAAACCCCGTCTCAACTAAAAATACAAAAAATTACCCGGGCGTGATGGCGGATGCCTATAATCCCAGCTACTTGGGAGGCTGAGGCAGGAGAATTGCTTGAACCAGGGAGGCAGAGGTTGCAGTGAGCCAGGATGGCGCCACTGCACTCCGGCCTGGGAAACAAGAGCAAAACTCCGTCAAAAAAACAAAAAACAAAAAACAAGACAGCTCAAAGGAGGAAAATACTCACAGATCTCTCAATCAGCTCAAAAGCCTTCTCAATCATCTCTGATTTCAATTCCTTTACCTAAAATTTTTAAACTCTTCATTCTGTTATAATTCTTTGGATTGAGAAGACTCCATAAAGAGAGAGAGTTTAGGAAAAGCATATACTCAAGAGCCTAGCTTTTCCTCGTGCTAATATTCTATCGTGCCAGAAACTGTGTCAGCAGATATGCAAGCAAACAGTGACTATCTGTGCTTTTGCAGTTTCTCCAATCTGGGCCATGTGTTCTCTGAGTATGAAATCCCTTGCAAGGGTTGGGGAACTGGAGTACTAAGGGTCAGCAAGAATCTTTCATCGGAAACATAAAGGAATGATGAGGTTTTACACAAAATACAACAATGATTTTGTGAGTAGGCAACGGAGAGGGTGCGTGGAAGGGACAGGTGGCTGGGAATGTTTAAGTTTCAGAGGAAGTTGGTATGTCTGTGAGCCAGTCTGAGCGCCACACCCTGAGGACTTCTTACCCTTGTACCCACTCTTACAGGGCAACCGTAGGTCCTCTTCCGCTCATTTTGGATTCAGGACCCAGAAAGTAGAATTCATCTCGACAGTCTCAAAAGTCCTAAGAGGCACTTTAAACGAGGGTCTTAGAGAACACTTTATAGTCTCCTATAAGTCTAGAGCTTGAGTTTGCAGGCATCTCCTCATGGAAAGGTAGTACCTTGGTGCAAAATATGAAATCAACTGAAAGCTCAATTATTACACTTTGTGTGTTTTATAAAATAAAGATCCATTACCTTAGTTGTGTCTTGTGAAACATTCTGATGGGGAAAGCAAAAGCCAAGGAGAAGTGTAGAATGCAAAACATGAAAAATAGCCATTATCTAGATAGCTTACAAAAATTTAATTTTGTTTTAGATGTGTAGCAGAATAGAGATAGTTTTATATAAATACAGAAGAGAGTCAAGTATTGTTCCCTAGATTCCCTGAACAGGACCAATTTAAGAACCTCCTCTCAGTTCCTATGATGTCTGATCTGTAATTCAACTGGCACAGTGATAATGGAATCTCACATTTAGCACATGCTTTGTGTAGTGCTATAGTTTAATTTAATGAGATTAAGGAGGACTCTTCAGTTTTTAGAGATTCAGGGTGGTGGTACACAATAGAAGGAACTTCTGCAGAGAAATTCAGTATCTACCAAGGGGGCTGGGGAAGATGAGGCATTAATGCTTGTGCATGTTCTTATTCTTCATGAGGCCTTCCACACTATTTCAAAAACAACTTAAGAGGAGTGTGACCTTATCTCAGCCTGAGCCTCTTTGGCAGGAATAAAGGCTGGAGAAGATAATTTAATTGGCAGGACATAAGAGGATCCAGTGTGACTCTATGAAATGGTATCCAAGTCACACAGGCATCTTTCAGGACAGAAGTGCTGTGCGGCAGCTTGATAAAACCAGGGACTGAACAGAGCCAAGAAAGAGCAAAACACACATTTCCTTCTTGATTGTTGAGGTCTCTCTGTAAATGCAGTGAAATCACTAAGGGAGGCTTTAAATATTGTTGGAAAACCTGGTCAGGGTCTCATTTGATAAAGCCATTGGAATTTCAGCAGGCTATTCATTGAGACTCTATTCTTACAGAACGGAGAGAAGCAGGTGCTTCCACTGCAACATGCTTTGATTGCATTTTTCTATTCACAGGTCATTTCAAAAGAATGTTACATGTTTCAGTGAGATCCAAATATCCAAATATTTAAGAAAATAATGATTAGAGTTAGCACTTAATACAGTAGCTTCCATCTGAGGGTCTTAGATATTATTTCATTATCTTTTAAAATATTATCTGGAGATTGCTTAAGTGGAAACAATATATTTATATTTTAAACCTAGTGGAACTTAGTTAAAGAACTCACCAAAAAGTTGAAAGCATTTAGGCATCCTTTTGATAAGTTCATTTGATATTCTGGATTTCACCTTAAAGTAACACAAATCAAGAGAATGAATAGGTTTTTTTTTGCATTAACATTTAATTGATAAAATTTTCCTTGGGATGCTTTACTCCTCTCAACCTGATTTCCTCCTGCCTGTTCTGACTCCAGGGTAAACAAAATAAAAGAATCCATTTATAGTCAACTTCAAGTGATAAGAAGCCATCTAGGAAGGCTCAAAGGTATCGACTCAAAGAAATATGATAAATACAGAAATAGATGGTTTAGTATTCAAAGCAAAAGCCTGAACACAGGTTTCTTAAAGCAAGGAGTGATAACAGAAGGCAGTTCTCCCTCCACCCCTAGACTGGAGTAATACTATAGACTCCTTCTAAGTTGTGGATTCTTAACCATTTTTATCCCATAGACTCTTCTGCCTGTCTCTTGTAGCTTACGGGCTGCTTCTCAGGATAGTTTTTCAAAGCATAAAACTAAATTCAACCAGTAAGATGAAACCAATTATCCAGAATTACAGTAATCAAAATATCTAAAAAATCATAACATTGACAAATATATTATTGGTGAATTTTTATTACCAATAAATAATGAGATCTGTCATCAGGTTTGATAACCCCCATAATTTTAAATTAGTGATAAGCATTAAAAAACTTTCAAGGTTTTCACAGTAATTGTAATGACCTATAAAAAATCTGCCTGTGTTGCCAATTTACTTTAAAGAGAAATGTTTTATTTCAGTTAGAAGTTAGTGAAAATAAAATATGCAATTATTTTCTCACCTCTGCTCAAGAACCCCATGTTAAGAACCTACAAATTAAAAAAGACTAGTTTCTTCCACTCCTCAGAATAAGTTCATAGATATCTAAAGAGCCAAAGACTATAGTTGGAGAAATACTGATATAAATAATGCAGAAGTGTCAGACTTTGTGAAGGGTGATCATAGGACCAAAGCAAACCACTGGTTTAGGTCCTTAAGAATATGTATATGAAAATTTCAGCTAAGTTTGGGGTCCAGTTATGACATAGGAAATGTTGAAACATTTGAGGGAAGCAAATGCTTTATAATACAGACTACTGTTAATATAGAGCTTATTTTATTTTTAAATTATATACACTTTAACTGACAAATAAAAACAGTATCTATGAATGTTGTTTAAAACACCATGTTTTAAAATATGTCTGTGGAATGGCTAAATCAATCTAGTTAACATATTTATTACCTTATATACTTATTTTTCATGTCGAGAACATTTAAAATCTGCTCTTTCAGCAGTTGTCAAGTAAACAACCCTTTATCAACTATAGTAACATGGGTTGGATTTGTGTCCCCACCCAAATCTCATGTTGAATTGTAATCCCAATGGTGAAGGTGGGGCCTGGTGGGAGATGATTGGATTATGGGGGCAGATTGCCCCCTTCGTGCTATTCTCCTGATAGTGACTGAGTTCTTGTGAGATGTGGTTGTTTAAAAGTGTGTGGCACCTCCCTCCATCTCTTGCTCCTGCTCCAGCTGTGTAAGAAGTGCCTCATTCCCTCTTTGCGTCTGCCATGACTGGCAGTTATCTGAGGCCTCCCCAGAAGTAGAAGCTGCTATGCTTCCTGTGCAGCCTGCAGAACTGTGAGCCAATTAAACCTCTTTTCTTTGTAAATAACCCAGTCTCACATATTTCTTTATAGCAGTGCAAGAACTAATATTATACATATAGTCACCATGTTGTACAATAGATCTCTTGAATTTATTCCTTCTGTCTAACTAAAAGTTTGAATGTTTTGGCTAAACAGCTCCCCAATCACCCTGCTTTCCCCCAACCCCATTTTACTCTCTGCTTCTATAAGTTCAACTTTTTTAGATTCTGCGTATAAGTGAGACATGGTGTTTGACTTTCTGTGCCTGGCCTATTGCACTTAGCATAATGTTCTCCAGGTTTACCCATTTTCAACACTGAACAGTACATGCAAACAAAAGAACTATCAAGAGCACTTTGACTTTAATTCTTTCCTGTCACTGACAGAATAAAATCCAAATTCCTCAGATTTACAGTGAAGTTCTACTTACCTTTTCTAGTCTGAAATCCCTCTAGACTTCTTCTTACCCAGGGGCACCCCTGCTCCTGCTCCTGCAAACCAACGCTCTCCGATAGTCAACATTCCAGCCAGATCAATTCTCTATTCTTTAATGAGTCCTTTGTTTTCCTGCCACTGGGATGTGTGCAATTTATTCCCTTCACTTTTCTCCAATTTCACTGCAGAAATCCTATCCTTTGAAGTCAAATTGTATCCTCTTGTGGTCTAGCTCATATCTTATTTCTTTCAAAAACAAAATAACAATCAAATATCTAACCAACTAAAGCAAAAAGCATCGTGTATTGTAACCTAATCTTTAGAGTTTATCACATTTTTCATAACTTACTTTGAATTCTATACTTTTATGACTATATTTTTCTCTCTTATGAAGAAATATTTATAAAGTGAATTGTGCCCCTCCCAACTTTTAAATTCAAATGTGGAAGCCCTCAGCCCAGTACCTCAGAATATGACTATATTTAGAGGTGTGTCCTTTAAAGGAGTAATTAAGTCAAAATAAGGCTCTTAGGGAGGGGGTCCTAATCCAATCTGACTAATGTCCTTATGAGAAGAGGAAATTTGGATGAACAAAAAGACACCAGGGATGGGTTCACACAGAGAAAACATGACATGAGGACACAGAAAGAAGGTGGCCACCTGCAAGCCACAGAGAGAGGCCTCAGGAGAAACCAGACCTGCCAACACCTTGATCTTGGACTTCCAGTCTCCAGAACTATGAGAAAATAAATATCTGTTGTTTAAGCCACCTAGTTTGTGGTATTTTGTTATAGCAGCCCTTGGTAAACTAATATGAGCTATGAACTCTTATACACCAAACATCTAATAGTTACTTCTAAATATAACAACAGAAAGGTGTGAGAGAACCAGGGAGTGAGAGAAACTAGGGAGAAAGAGAGGGATAAGGAGATAAAGGACACTGAAATTGAGATTATGGGGTATACATCTGCACATTTTGGAGACATATTTCCCCTTCCTATTTCTGTTTTTTCCAAAATTCATAATGTGATAGCAAAAGGATTTATAATGACAAATACAACAGAATGGGTTATTAATATAAGTTTTTCCCCATTCAGATTGTTAATAGACCTTATGTGGTTATCATAACAATGACAAATGTTGCAACATGCAAGTTTGATACTGCCTTTATAAATGAAAAAGAAAAGAGAAAGTTATGTTAGAGGATGTCAAAGAAAACGTAGTAAGGAAGGGGTAAAATGTTTGAAAGCATATTTTCAGAAGGTAATGTAAAGGAGAATTAGGAGCTATTTGGCATTATAGTATTCTATTTGTCAAGATACAAGCTATGTGGTATAGAAATATGTAATATTATGCAATCTGGAGAAAAGTGTCTATGAGAGCCAGTGGGTGAAAGCCCACTGATAAGGGGCAGAAAGAGGTGGTTAGAGAACAAATGAGTGGCATCTTTCTCATCCTGGCAGAGAGCCTTAGAGATAATAAGAAGTTAAAAGGAAACGTGGTATGAAGTAATAGCATCATCTGAGTATAAATGGGGTTATCAAGGTCAGGGAGGGCCAAGTACTTTGAAGGCCATCTAACTAGCCTCCCCGCACCATCATGTGTGGTAACTATCTGTTCTGAAGCTGCAATAGGAAAAGCAATAAAGTGTTAGCATGATAATATAGCACATACTATAATTAATAACAAGGTTTGAAAGTTGGTTACTATAAGGAATTTTGTTCCGTTACCAGCTTATTCACATTGTAGTAAAGGGAAATTTATAAGTGGCTAAATTGGCAATAAACTCTTACATTGAATTAACACAACCCTTGTATCTTTACTGATGATGCAGACATGAGAGAAGGAATTGAGGGCAGGGCACTGCATTGATTGTCAATATTTCAGTTATTTATTCAGGCAAAAAAATGTTTGCTGGGTGCCTACTATGTGCCAGAAACCATTCTGTGTAGTTGGATACAATAATGAAAAAAGCAGACAAAAATCCGTGGCTCATTCTCAAGGTACGTTGATACTCTTCATTGGATTGGACACATACTCAGACAATCTAAATAGGAGGATCAAGATTTCAGGGTGAAGTGAGTGATTTGAATAACTCATTGCTATTGCAGATGTGGACAGACAGCCTCAAACAGCTTTCTAAGATTTTCCCAAGCAGTGGCTCTTAATATGAACTTATCCTAATATTTAAGACATCATTCTTTACCTGAATGATGAAAGGGACACTTATTAACTGCAGGAGACACTTATTAATACCAAACTCCTAAACAGCAAAAAAAATCTGGTATTGGCCACAGCTGATTAATAGACTTATCTACACTGAGTTCCCGCAGACCCAGAGTGGACTGAGGAAAGATTGTTCTGGAAGCGCCTGGAAGCTTTTTTTAAATTTATTTTTATTTTTTTTTAGTAGAGTAGCGGGAATCTGGCTCAAGAGGAGATGCCTATTTTTTTTTTTTAACTTTTATGTTCAGGGGTACGTGTGCAGGTTTGCTATACAGGTAAGCTTGTGTAGGTGGGGCGGGGGGCGGGCATTGCTGTACAGATTATTTCATCACCCAGGTACTAAGCCTAGTATTCAACAGTTACTTTTTTCTGCTGCTCTCCCTCCTCCCATCCTCCTGCTTCAAGTAGACGCCAGTGTCTATTGTTCCCTTCTTTGTATCCATGAGTTCTCATCATTTAGCTCCCACTTAGAAGTGAGAACATGCGGTGTTTGGTTTTCTGTTCCTGCGTTAGTTTGCTAAGGATAATGGCCTCCATGTTCCTGCAAAGAACATGATCTCATTCTTTTTTATGAAACTGCCCATTTTTAACAGGGCCATTCTCTGAGCGGAAGCTTTCACTGTTACACAGTCAACTAGGTGTTCCCTGTTCCATTCACTTCTCCTGGGATTATGAAAAATGGCAAGAGGAGAGTGTCTCCTTTTATTCCTGTGCCTCTGTTCACCTTTGTCTAAGCGTGCCACTCTGTGGGCTAATAAGGCACATGGATCATGTGTACTCTGCCACTTCTCTGCTTGTGAATGTTTTCTCCGATAAGCACTATTTTACTTTTACTATCATGCTTTCAACACCTCTCATTAGGCTCCACCTCCCAACGCTGTTGCATTGGGAAATATATTTCCAACACATGAATGTTGGGAGAAACATTTAGACCATTGCAGTGTATTAGTGATAAGTGTGACGGAGGAAAATAAGGCAGGAAAGGGAGATAGGGGGTGTGTGTGTGTGTGTGTGTGTGTGTGTGTGTGTGTGTGTGTGTGTGTGTGTGTGTGTGTGTGTGTGTTGCAATTTCAGACAGGGTGGCTAGGGGGCAGACTTCCTTGAGAAAGTACCATGTGGACAAAAACCGAAAGAAAGTGAGGAGAGAACGCAGAGGGTTTCTGAGAGAAGGATGAGCATTCCTGTTGTAGATCATTTGAAATATTAAATGTTAAATTAATATTTTATATAATATAGACTAGATCCTTTAGTTAATATTTACTAACTTAAAATAATATTCTAAACTCTTGGTAAGAATTGGTGGCTTAGAAAAATTTGTCAATGCATGTTAGAAAATGAGATTCAACAATGTTTTGACTTTACCTATGCAACCCTATTGTAAAGTTAGTAACATTGTGCTTTGCACATCCATATGCTGTCTACTTGATTAGTCTTTGTGGAAAACAAGATTACATAGATGATCTGCCACCGTGTGTCTGGCCCTGTTCTGGTGGCTGCAGGAGGTGTTCTGTAGAGTTAGATGCAGTGCTTACTCTCTCGGGCTAATGCTAGGGGCATGCCCAATAAAATCAACATGATACAAAGTACAATACATGTGGCAAAAATGAATAGCGTTAAGGAAGTGAAATAGGATATATGACTGAAAAATCAGAAAAGTTATTGTTATAGTAGGCAATATTTAAAATAATTCTGAAGGATAGGCTCCTCATAAAGGAAATTGGAAACACTGCCCTTGAGAGGAGAAGATACCAGACAATGTGAGGAAATATAAGATGTTCAATTTTGCTAAAAGATAGGGTTTATGTCAGAGAATAGAAAGTGATGTAGCTGGAGAGAGAGGTTGGAGCTATATTGTACAAGGCTTTGAATTCTGGGCTGAGGTATTTGTAGTTCATTCAATGGACAATGAGGAACCATTGAATGTTTTAGAAAAGAGAAAAATCACCCAATTGAAGCTGTAACTTAAGCAGAATTCCCTGGCAGAATGGATAGTGTAGGAGACAGAGAGATTAATCAGTGAGGCTCTGCAACTGGGGTCAGGTGGGAACTGCGGCCTAACCAAGCAGTGGCTTCCGGAGTGTCTTTGTTGATGTCTTAGTCTGTTCAGGCTGCTATAGCAAAAATACCATAGACTGGCTAGATTTAGCAACAGACACTTATTTCTCACAGTTACGCAGGCTGGGAAGTCCAAGATTAAGGTGCCGGCAGATTCTGCGTCTGGTGGGGTCCTCTTCCTGGCTCATAGAGGACTGTCTTCTCTCTGTGCCCTCACAGGGCGGAAGGGGCAAGAGAGCTTTCTAAAATATATTCTTATGAGGGTTTTAATCACCTCCAACAGGCCCCACCTCCTAACCACACTGGGGGTTAGGATTTTAACATATGAGTTTTGAGGAGACACAAGCAAACATTGAGTTCTACAGCTGTTTGTAACAGGAAAGTCAAGGGGGAGGCAAGTGTGCAGTAGAGGGAGGGATCTGGGACTGCTGATAGCATTTCAGGTTGTTAGAACTGGAGTCTAAAGCTGAGTCTTCTCTCAAAACATTAAGAAAATAATCCCCAAATGAAACTTGGGGATAATATGCAAACATTCTCTTGTCAATTTAATTCACTGAACTGGAATGCCTACAAAAAGGAAGTCAGATACTGTAAGTATTCACAACTTTGTTCTCTTGTTTTTCTATCTTCCCTCAATAAAGAGAATCTCATAAAGTGACATACCTTATTAGTTAAAAACTTAATAAACATGGTGTTGACACATATTGAAGTGGGAGTTAATTTATTCTTAATCTCAATAACATTGACTTTCCTATTTGAGCCCATTCTGTTTAAGACTATTTGGGTCTATTTAATTTAGTGTCCTGGCATATTTTATATTTCAAAGATAACAAGTCACTCATTAGATTGCCTCATTTCTGGACAACCTTACACAAACATACATGTCTCAGGAAGCTCCACCCCACTGGGACAATTATCTTTTAATGACTACAGCCTGTTCTGTTTGGCTGCTTTGGAAAACATAACACATATCTTAAAGAAGCCTGTTTTAATTCTACAGACATGCATCAATTGGCCTAAACTTAGATGAAACATCTTTTCACTGTCATATGTGCTCTTGTCACAGATGAACCACAACTTCATAAGTGCAGGTATCTGGTTTGATATCTGATCATGTTTAGTTGAATAAAATGTAAGTGACTTTTGACTCCTTCACAAGGTACACACATCTAGTAAATTTGGGAAAAAATGAGAACAGGGATCCAGTAAGTAATAATATGTATCAATATATGAGAGTGACAGGAATGTTGAAGCGTGCAGAGAGAAATAACAGCAAGGCAAATGATGCCTGTCAATGACCAAACAAATCTATATCTGTTCAACAAAAGGAAATGTGGGAAAAAATGTAGAGAATGAATGGAAGATCACATCAGAGGACAGATAAATGATGTTTCAAATACATATTTTAAAGTTGGCAAGGGATAAAATGTCCTTTAGCATAAAATTTCAGTTTAATAGCAGCAGAGTTGCTCTTTGCTAATAAAAAGGGCGACAGTGGAGGGAATAGAAGAAAAGATTACAAATGAATACACAGAATTCTAGCAATGTCACTAAAACTTTCTTCCTACAGGTTTTGTACAAAACTTAGATGTAAAGTAGAAAAAACTAAAATGAAGCAAATAACTTATTTTGGAAAACCTGTAAAAAAAGACTGAAAACTACATGAGAGCCATATTAAATACTAAAATAAAAGCAAATGTCTTCTAACACTTAAATATGTTTTGCAGATTAAAGAAATAAAATGCTTCTATGATATATAACATGAAGGAAGACTAATGACATGAGAGACCTAAAGATAAAGATGAGGAAGGAGGGGTTTTCAATAGTCTGAAAAAGCACCAGAGCTCCTGGTTCAATTACTGATATATTTCCACTCTACTATGAATTTCTTCATTTTGCTTCTAGTTTTTTTCATTGTAAGTTGCCTTCTTTCTATTTTTTTTAAAAATTGCATTTGTTTATTTATATAGAGATGGGATCTTGCTATGTCACCCAGGCTGGTCTTGAACTCCTGGCCTCAAGTGATCCTTCTCCTAGGCCTCCCAAAGTTCTGGATTACAGAAACAAGTCACTGTGCCCAGCTTGCCTATTTAAATATTCTTTCAATATCCAGCAGTGTGGAAGATTAGCGATCTTGAGTCTAGGCATTTGCAGGGCTGGTCATAGTGGAAGGGTAAAGAAAGTCATAGAAAGATCTTAATCTTTCCTCCCTCTTCCAAAACAAACAAACAAACAAAAACGAAATGGGTTCACACCTGTGTCTAAAAAGGCCAGTGTCGAAAGCAGAAGGAAACTTTCTTTAAACAACTGCTTTACTTTCAGTTAGAGATGAGGAAGGGGCCTCAGGCAGCCAGTTTTTTGGGAAGGCGTTTTATCCAGAAACTTTGGAATAAAACAAGTTAGAAGATCTTGGACAAGGCACCTAAACCGTTGTTCATTTTGCTTATTTATTTATTTATGTAAAAATATATCTTTGTAATTAGTATGCTGAAAGACAGGCATAAATGAGTTCATGGAAACTAAGGTAATATACCAAATGTGGTAGTCTTAAGCATTCATTCATTCATTCATTTAATAAGTATTGTCTGTGCCAGACATTGGGTTAGGTACTAGGCATGAAAATGTAGAAAAGACACAGTCTTTAGCCAGAGTGCATTTAAAAGAGAATGGAAAATTATATCAAATTTAACATTTTCATTTAAAAATGTTTAAAAAATTTTTTAAACTATTATTTTAAGTTCAGGGGTACATATGCAGGTTTGTTACATAGGTCAACTTGTGTCATGGGAGTTTGTCATACAGATTATTTCATCACCCAGGTGTCATTAGGCCTAGTGCCCATTAGTTATTTTTTCTGTTACTCCCCCTTCTCCTGACTTCCACCCTCTGGTAGGCACAAGTGTGTGTTGTTCCCCTCTGTGTGTCCATGTGTTCTCATCACTTAGTTCCCACTTATAAGTGAGCAAATGCGGTATTTGATTTGCTGTTCCTGTGTTAGTTTACTAAGGATAATGGCCTCCAGCTCCATCCATGTCCCTGCAGAGGACATAATCTCATTCTTTTTTATGGCTGCATAGTATTCCATGGTACATGTGATGGTTAATATTAGATGTCAACTTGATTGGACTGAAGGATGCCTAGATAGTTGGTAAAGTGTTGTTTCTGGGTATGTCTATGAGGGTGTTGCCAGACAAGATTGACATTTGAGTCCATGGACTGGGAGAGGAAGACCCACCCTCAACGTGGTTGGGCACCATTCAATCAGCTGCCAGTATGGCTAGAACAAAGCTGGTGGAAGAAGGTGGGATAAGCTGGCTTGCTGAGTCCTTTGGCTTTCATCTTTCTCCCATATTGGATGTCTCCTTCTGTTCCTCCTGCCTTTGGACATCAGACTCCAGGTTCTTCAGCCTTTGGACTCAAGTGCTTTGCGTGGGGCTCTCAGGCCTTCAGCTACAGTCCGAAGGCCGCACTGTTGGCTTCCCTGCTTTTGAGGTTTTTGGACCTGGACTGAGCCACTACTGGCTTCTTTCTTCCCCAGCTTGCAGACAGCCTATCATGGGATTTCGCCTTGTGATCCTGTGAGCCAATTCTCCCTAATAAATTCCCTTTCATTTATACATATATCCTATTAGTTCTGTCCCTCTGGAGAATCTTAACTATTACAGTGAATGTACCACATTTTCTTTCTCCACTCTATCATTGATGGGCATTTAGGTTGATTCCATGTCTTTGCTATTGTGACTAGTGTTGCAATGAACATATGTGTATATGTGTGTTTCTGATAGAATGATTTATATTCCTTTGGGTGTATACTCAGTAATGGGCTTGCTGGATTGAATAGTATTTCTGTCTTTAGGTCTTTGAGGAATCGCCACACTGTCTTCCACAATGATTGAATTAATTTGCACTCCCACCAAGTGTATAAGCCTTCTTTTTTCTCCACAGCCGCTCCAGCATCTGTTATTTTTTGAACTTTTAGTAATAGCCATTCTGACTGGTGTGAGATGGTATCTCATTGTAGCTTTGATTTGCATTCCTCTAATGATAAGTGATGTTGAACTTGTTTTCCACATAATTGTTGGCCACATATACGTCTTTTCATGTGGCCAACAATCATATGGAAAAAAAAGTGTTCATGTCGTTTGCCTGCTTTTTTATGGGGTTAACATGAAAATGTTAACATTTCATGTTAACCCCAGCATTTACTCAACGACCAGCAGATAGAAGATTCTCAATAAAGTCTAATTTAATTAATTAAAGGATGTGATGAACTCAAATAAGACAAGGAATTCAGTGTACCAATTAGTTCAGTTTGCTGTTAGCATTCTTCAGAACTTTATTTACTATACTGAGTTTTACATAAACTATGTTTACATCCATAAATACCAGCTGAAGTCATTGCAAATGACTTCAGGTTTCCAGGTTCTCAGGTAAGAGTCTCAATCGTCATAGTACACAATTGCAAACTCAGTTCTTTGGAACCTGCTACTAATGCAGGTGCAATGCAGAAGGGATTCAACAAGCGCTTTGAAAATTGAGTCTTTAAGGAGCTTACTAAAATAGACTCATGAAAATTAAAGCCAAGAAAGATCTGATTGTTCTACGTAATTCATCCCTTGAGGACTTGTATGAGATTGTCTTTTGCAGCCTATTTTTCCATATATTTCCCCACGTAAAGTTTGAATCACTCAAACAAAAGGACTTCTAATCCTTCCATTGGGACAATTTTATAAAAGACCTCTTTATTAGGGAGTATTTCCTGATAGACATCATGAATTTTTCTGTGCTTAATTTTATCCCATTAACCCCAATTACACCTCCCTGGGGCAACAATAAACAATTCCAGCTTCTCCTCTGAAGTCACACTCTTCAGAGACTCCTCATTCTTTCCTGGTGTGATGTAGTCCAGCTGTGCACCTCAGTTCCTTTATTCTGAATTCAGGAGCAATCGTGGCCATCTAATCACTTTTATTTCCTTTCTTTGAGCAACTGCCAATCTGTTAAGAATTTTGACTCTTGATATAAATCCTCATATGCTTCATGCCCATTGTGGTCCATGCATATGAACCCTGATTATATAATAAGCCATTTTTCTCCAGGTGAACTGGTAATATGAGTATGAAAAAAGAATCTTAGTGTAAATGGCATGCGTAAAAAGCTAAACCGACAGAAATCACAATCTTGTTAGGATTTTCATCTTGCTGAATACAATTTTATGCTAAAGAGATTATCTTAGGAGGTTTTGTCTGCAGTACTGTTATTGTACTGGTTGATTTATAATCATAGTGTGCAGTTTTGCAAAGCTGCATCTTTCATTCAGAAAGAGATTTTGCTCTGCAGACAAGGTGACATGAAACACTTGCCCTTCTAAAAGAGGATTAGAGACTTTTACATTTTAAAGCCCATTTTGGTACAATCACTAACATGAAGCCAGTTTCCAATTTCATATGAAAAAGATCTCTAAGGAGATATCTGGCTTAATTAACTGAGAAATGACAAGTACAACAGAATTTCACACTGATAAAGTGTGACTTACCGTAAAGAACCTAACCTCACCTGACCTCTTCAGTGAAAACTGGCTTAAGAAAAGTGTTTAAAAATTATGCCTGAACACAAGCATGAAGAGCCAAGAGGACAAGAAAGAGAGGGAAGAATAATACAAAATTTGGATTTCTTTTGTTCCTTTTGTTGATGTGTAGTCTATGAGGCATTTGAAATATTTTCTGTATATATGTCAGATTCATTTCACAAGCATAATTTCATAAATACGATGTATTTCAAAAATAGAATTCATTCATTTCACAAGCAGAATTCATTTCTTCCTACATTGGATGCATACTTAGATATACATTCTTTGTTTAACCATCTTTGTATAATGAGCATAGAAGTGTGCCTATGAGCTCTGCTGACCTACCCACAAGTCTAGCCAAGTTACCTGGTTACAAATAATAACCAGATAATTGTGGGACTGTCATCCTGTGAAATTAGCTGCTTATTGTAAATGCTTACACTCCCCAAACATGCAGGCATGTATACACACACACACACACACACATACCCACATATACATTTTGATAACCAGAAAGTTTGATCATGTTCAGAATAGAGGAAATAACAAAGATGGGATAGGAGTAAGAAGGAAGAAAGAAAGCTTGAAGAAAATAAGATACCCTAGGAAGAAGAGAAGCGAATAATGTTACTCTCGTTACTTCTCACTTTTTACTTAATGCCTAAAGTATGTTTTAGGGAATTGCAGAACCAAGAGCTTTGGATAAATGTGAAGGGTAAAGGAAGAAACATATCTAAAATATTATGATTTTAAAATTATTCTGGAGAATGTCTGAGATTAATCACAGTGCTCCACCAAGAGCAATATGTAAGCTTTTCTTTCTAAGTCACCCCCTTCTGACAGAATTGTAAGGAAGGGATAGCACGGGCCATGATGTGGGGTTGTAACCTCCACTGCCTTTTAATTGTTAGTAAAATGTGAAATAAAAAGTAAAGCTAGGCATTTTCTAAAGCAGTAATACTTTCTGAAATACAGACACTTGTACATATATATTGTATGAAACCAGATTGAGATCTCTGGGTTTTTGTTTGGTTGGTTGATTGCTTGAGACAGAGTCTTGCTCTGTCACCCAGGCTAGAGTGCAGCAGTGCAACCACAGCTCACTGCAGCCTCAATTTCCCAGGACCAAGAGTTCCTCCCATCATCTCAACTTCCCACACAGTTGGGACTACAGGTATTTATTTATTTATTTATTTATTTATTTATTTATTTATTGAGATGGGGTCTCACTATGTTACCCAGGTTGGTCTCCAACTCCTGGGCTCAAGCAATCCTCCTGCCTTAGCCTCCTAAAGTGTTAGGATTATAGGGGTGAGCCATGGTGCCTGGCCTAAATCTCTGTCTTTTAATGTAAATTTCCTTAATACATAAGGATTTGGAGGTATACCTACTCTACTACAGCCACGGGCTAGTTCAGTGCAATTTGCTAATGAATAGACCTGCTGAGCTGCACTATGATAAACTGATTCCTTTAAATAATTTCCTCTCCTGTAACTACCCTATTTTTCAAGGGACATCTCAGGAACCCATCCTTTCTGATCCAGAAATATACACTTAGGTTCCTCCTCACCAAGAGGACCTTAGCATTCCCCTCTGGTTGACTAAACTTTAAGACAGGCAGGCTTCTTGACTCTAGGCTCCTAACACCCCTTTTCTTTAAGCATTTACTTTACAAAACCTGTATTTGTAAATCATTTCTCTGTCCTTTGGGGAAGTAAATCTTTTTAAAGGCCTCTTGCCAGTTTTACAACTAAGGAATGTCTTTCTTAAGGACCCAGAGACCATTCTCTGAAATGTAATAATCAAGAAGGATAGTGCCCCTATCTCCCAGTTTCTATGGGAGGATAGGAGCCTAACGTCATTAGGTGCCTTGCTCCAAGTTGTAAAACTACCTCTTTTCAAGAAGATTCCAAAAATTTAACTTTAACTTTGCATAAGGCCAATGAGCAAACACAGGTGGTTTTGACACTACAAAGTCTACAGTATTTCTTACTGTATTTAGGTTGGCTGGTGAAACTTTCCTGTGTGATCATTTTGCTTTCTAAGAAGCAGCTCTTGCTCTATCCAGAAACCCTAAATATTAGTTTTTTAGGTAGATTTTATGGTGTGATTCCACCATAAAATCTCTTAGAGCCTTGTCCTGAGTGCTCATATAAGATTGGGACCTTATCCAAGAATGGTGCAAAGTTAAAAACAGATTACTCTGTTGAACTGCACCGAAGGGTCACAATGTATAGAATGCAAATGTTTTGCTTGAGTGAAGGTAGCAAAGAAATGAAAGACACAACCTTTTAGGAATTTAACATAACTATAGGAATAAAAATGTAAACATACAGTTATTCAGTGAACAAGGCAGCCAAAGAGATAAAAAGACAAAACAACACAGCCAGAATGATATACTTACACAACTGGTATATTTAAAGTAAATGAAGCATATGTATTATTTGTTAGTTATTATGCTAGATTCTACATTTATCTCATATCCATCCATCCATCCATCCATCCATCCATCCATCCATCCATCCATCCATCTCTTCCTCCAGACTTTTGAATGACTAATTTGTACCTTTGCCAGGTGCTATGGCTAAAATGATAAACAAGACATTCTTTCACTCAAGAAGTTTATAAGGTATTAGAGGACACAGGTGGGTATAGACATTGCCCACTAAAATGTGATAGTGCTAAATATACACAGTTATGGAAGACTCAAGGTTGAGAATCTTACTCTACCTGATGGGTCTGGGCAATGTGACAGAAGTGGTGAACTTAAGCCTGGAGGAAAAATGAGGTTCTCTAGGGCAAAAGAATAACTAACATTTAGTAAATGTCCATCATATGACAGACGTTGTGTTATACGCTTTCATGTGTATTATTTCAAAGCCTCAAAATATTCTTACAAAGTAGGTTTTAATAATCCCATTTTGCACCACAGGCAAAGGAGCTTCTGAAAGTCTCAGGCCTAGTAAGTGTCAGAGTGACTAGGTCAAATACAAATCAAAATGGTTTCCAAGCTGATGCTATTTCAATTATATCACATGTCCCCAAAGAGAAATTTCATCCAAGCAGAAAGGAAGTTCCATCCAAGCAGAAAGAAGAGCATGTGCAAAGATAAGCATAAGTGGCACAGAATTTTGCAAGTATTTTGGTGTATTATAGGAAATGAAGGGGAAATAGTGGGAAATGGGGTTATAAAATAGGGTGAGATCAAATTATGAAGAATCAGATTTGCCAAACAAAATAAATGGGATTTAATATTATAGTGTGGATTTTTGATCTACAATTTTAGAATTTTATGCAGAGAATTGGGGCATAAGTTGACAATGACAGAAATCTGGAGGGTGCACTGGGATTGAAAGAGCATGTGGGGGACAATCCAAAGGACCAGATGAACAAAATAAACAAAGTACAAAGTCCTTTCCCAGTATGACGATGCACACAGTGTGACTCCACCATAAAATCTCTTAGAGCCTTGTCCTGAGTGCTCATATAAGATTAGGACCTTATCCAAGGATGATGTAAAGTTAAAAACATACATTTATAATTTTCTTTTTTACCCTAGAATAAATTTATAAATTTGTTGTTGAGATAGGCAGGGTGAGGTCCCCAAATACGTCCATCCCCTAGTCCCTATAACCTGCGAACCTGTTACATGACATAGCTAAAGGAACTTCACAGATATGAAAAAGGTTACAGATCTTGAGATGGGGAAATTATTCTGGATTATACAGATGGACTGTGTTCAGTCACAGGAGCTCTTAAAAGCAGAGACGCTTTCCCAGCTTGGGTCAGAGAGATTCATCATGAGAAGATCTCCACTAGCTGTTGCTGGATTTCAGGATGGAGGAAGACTCAAGCAGAGAGACCTGGTGGCCACTAGAAGCTTGGAACAGCCCTCAGTTGATAGCAAGGAAATGAGGACTCAGTGACACAACCTCAAAGAACTGAATTCTTTCAATGACCTGAATATTAATGAAATGAAATTTCTCCTAGAACCTCTGGAAAAGAATGCAGCCCTGCTAACACTGTAATTTCAGCTCAGTGAGACTGTGTTAGACTTCTGACCTACAGAAGTCGTGAGACAATAAATTTTTGTTGTTTTAAACCATTAAGTTTATGGTTCCTTGTTACAGCTGCAATAGAAAACGAATATACTTGCACACTTCTTTTTTTTTTTAAATTAGAAGTTAATATCAGAGCTGGGGAAAGTAGCAAATGGTTCTCAACTGGTTCTAAGAAAAGATTTAATCAATATTTTCACACAAACTCAGTAAATCAAATGGATAAACTAGAGAAACCCACAGATAAAGACACAAAACCCAGTGTCTTTAGTGCTCTGAATAGCAGAAAACAAGACGATAGATCTGCGCTTTATGTTGAAATTTTTATAACTTCCTCCGTGTTTATTTATTGCATTTTATCTTGTTTTGTCTGAAAAGTGATTGGCACTGATACTCTTAAACTGTAAAAAAAATCTTTGTTATCACCTTTGTGGGAAGACAGGGAAACAAAGAAGCTCTTTGGGACAAGCAGGTGGCAGTTACCACCAAAGGTGAGAAAAGCATCTGTACCCTTGGAATCTGGGGCAAAGGAATCAGGAGAGCATGGGAGCTTTCCTGATGTAAGAAGAGTGCCTGTAGGTGTTAAGAGCAGAAAGGCTTATGCTCTTTTGTGCTTCACTTATTCATTGACTTATTCATTCAATAAATACTTACTGAGTGCCTCCAAGTGTTAACTGCTGGCTTACCCATTACAGAACTCCCAGTCTAATGGGGCTGTGTAAACCAACAGTTGCATAGTGGAAAATGCCAAGATAAAGCTTTACAGGTAATTGTTGATATGGTGCTAAGACAAAGTGCTTGTGTACGTGTTGTGGCCTTATTGTTCTGCAACGATACTTGTACAGAGTTAAATGTTAAGAAACTTTCATGGCAAATTGTGGTGTGATTTTCATGACTGTTGAATATAATAACCACAAAGTGTGCTTAGTTTTTTCATCTTCTTATTTCACTTTTGTGATAATTTGTTTTTATTATATTTTTCAAAAACATTCATTGTGACGGACTGGCAAAAAAAATTGTTTGTGAAGCACTATTGTAACATTTAAAAGAAGTGCTAAGACTATATCATGAGGAAATAGAGGGAAGAAAGGGAAGAGTCAGGAGTATCCTATTTCAATTTTTGCTTTGAATTGAGTGTTTCATATTTTAATGAGGCACATTATAAAAAATATAAGAATATTTTTGGGGAAGCAAATGCCCCTCATCTGCTTGCATGTAGGCCCCCCTCCTCCATTTCTCTTGTGGGCCCAATTCTTTGGAGAAACTTACATGTGGCAAAAATGTATGCGACTATTCATCCCATCAATGAAAGATTTTAAAATAATTCATAACTGTTTAAGCAACACCCATACATGGGCTAAGCAAGTTTTCTTCTTCACCCTCTGTACTTGGAGCTTGTGCTAATTTTCCTGGCACGTTTACAGCTCTGGCTTCAGCATAACTTCTCTCCTTCACACTAAGCTGTTCTCTGATAAGGTGCAGCTGGGGAAATCCATTGCTCCCTGGACCAGTCAAGTTTTCACATCAGTTAAGTTAATTGACATAAGGCTTAACATATTTCTTGATTATGGCTGCAAAGTCATTACTAGAGGAATCCCCCAAATCATGGAAAAACAGTGTTTTCTGATTAATTGGCTCTGAAAATGGCTCAATAAAACTGCAACACACACCTGATGGAATTAGAATAAGGGACAAGGACAGCTCAGGAGAGACTCACAGAGTGAGAAAAGACCTGTGGGTGGTTAGGGACCAGGAAAGGACTGTGACCCCAGCTCTGGCCTTATTCAGCATCACTCAGCTTGGGTGACTGTGTCCTGCAAAACTTACAGGGCTATTATTAAAGAAATATTGAATATTATCTTTGAAATGGTTTTGAGAATTTAGTATCATAAACAGGATAAGATATTAATTCATAGAGAATAATGGCCAGTCATTTGTAGTTTTAAAAAAATACCTACTAGGCTTAATCCATATGTCATAACTTTTGTTGCTACAATTGCTTCAATTAGTCTTTGTTTTCTTTGGATATAATAGTGTTAATAGTACATTATTGATTCATAAAATTATAGAAGTGAAAGTGACCTTAGGAGGTGATCTAGTTCAATTTTCTCATTTTACGGATAAGAAAGCTGAGACTCTGTAAGATGAAGCGACGTCCCATAGGTCACTTAGCTTATTGATGGTAGAACCGAGTCTAGAAGTTTTTACATTTCTTGGCATTGAAAAATTTCTTTGTGTGATCATGGAAGTACTAAATGCTCATTGTAGAAAACTTGGGACATACTAAAGGTATAAAATAAATGAAAATCATACATAATTCCACAATTCAGAGATAAACATTCTTGATGATGTTTTACTGTATATCAGTACAGATATAAATTTTCCTCTAAAACTGAGATCTCATTTCATAGATAATTTGACATTCTCTTCTTTTATTCAATGTGTCAAAAAATTTATGCTGTGATTAAAAACTTCTCCTGCTATTATTTTAATAACTGAATAATATTCTATATCAATATGGTACAATAAATATAAACATGTTTGGTCACTGGTAAAAGTGAAGACTTTTAGTTCTTTGTACTTCTTTTTAAACTAGTTCATTCCTTTTCTTTTGTCTGTTTTTCCAATATTTGATAATATTATTCTCAGTGATTTAAAATGTTCCTTACTTATTAAAAGCACTAATTTTCTTTTCTCCTGCCCTCACAGGTAGAATGTTAAAACATGTTTACTTTTATTGTAATTTGGAATAATCATTATGAAGTTCAGCTCTTACCATGCACTGTATTATGGGTTAAGTAACTGGCCCAACCCCATATAACATGGCTCTGAGACAGACCTGTCATCAAAAGCAGGGGTGCCACATCAAAACCTACCTCACACTGCTTTTCTGTAGAGTTGATATCTGAAAAGTGTGGTTTATTCCCAAATTGTTACATAGGTAATGAGTTACAATATCTGATACTGTTTACATTTCATTTTGATTCTCATTGATACCTGAAACTGGAAACATCCCCCATTGCTCTTTCTGGCCTTTGACATTCAGTTAATAATTCTTGGCTTTTTAAAAAAATGTATGCCATAGGAGGTCTCAAGATTAATGAACAACTTAATAACATATTTATTGTTGTTATTTTTGGTAAGTAGGCAATCTTATAGGATGAGGATATTTACATGGATTTGCACACTAAGGATATGTCTGATCTTTGAAACATAACAGATGTCTAAAGAATACACAGAAACACAATTGAGAAATAACAGTAAAATTCATACTGTTTTTGGATATGTGAACATTTTCCTTATTTAAGTCTCTACAATTATTCTAGATTTGGTGGTTAAACAGAGATCTCAGCGAATGGTTTTAAAAATAATATTTAAAAGAAAGGCCATGTAAAATAACTTGGACCTCTGTAATGTTTTTGTTTCATAATAATTTTTGTTTAGAAAAAAGACAATTTAAAATTATTACAGATTCATATGTTGAACTATAAGGAGATTTTTGAAAAGCTGTGATACTTACAAAATTTCCACTAATGGGAAATATTCTAAATATTAAATTCATCCTTACATAAAACTGAAGTCTGAGAGATTCTGTCATATTAGACGGTAAAATCTGAACATTAAAATCCCACTAGGTGATGGACAAACTGTATGCTTCTAAGTGTTTGTACATCTACTCTGATATATTCATTTTTAAAGCCTTTTTGTAAAGTCTTCTTTAACTTCAAATATGTTAGAATATTTATATATTCTGTCATCCATTTTCCCATTTTGATCTAGTTTTGATTAAATTCCTTCCTTTGGGAAATGGCCATATCTTTTTGAAGTAATTGAACATTTTATAGTATCCTGCATTAGACTAATTTGTCTTTTCCACCATAGTATTAGGATGTCTGAAGAAAATTAAATGGAAAAAAAATCAGAAGAGAATCCAAAGATCTCCTGGCAATTTGAAAGTGGCTGGCGTTTTATGGGCTTGATGGAATCTTTGTTAATTGTGTGAGACATTTGCCCTTTACTGGAAAGTGGAGTTAGCACGTAGCCAAGGATGACATCTCACCTATTTGAACTTTACCATTTTGGAGATGTTTCTTGGAAAACATTTTAGTTCTATGCTTCTAAATGGACAGCATCTATCTCTTCATTACTGATAGAAAATGCTGAAGAAAAGATGTGTTGAAATACATCTCTGCTAAAATCTCTGTATTCCGTAATCATGACCCTTGTTAACTCAGTACAAAGAACTTGCATCACCATTTAAACAATGAATGAGGCCCATGTACGACCCCAAATACGCAAAATAGAATAGATGTAATAAATGTACTTACTTTCGAAGTGGCTGGGAACTAAATTTTAGATTATAAGCTTTCTGGAAATATCTGGTGTTCACTACACGGGGATAAAAGTAAGATCTCGCCCTACCCCGCCTCCAAGTTTGAAGGAAAATTGAAAAAAAAATAAATAGATTCGGACCTACTTATTATTGTTTTTTAACAGATAAGCAGAGGAGATTTGGGAAGTCAAAGTTCAATCAAAGTCATTTGGATGAAATAGGAAGAAGGCATTATGAGAATGTAAGTAACTAGAAAAGTTATATACAATCACTGTCATAAGTCACTCAGATGGTCTTATAAACTAAATCCATCTTCCTTTCCCTCCAAATAAATAAAAACAAAAGGCCAGAAAGAGTAAGATATTGTCCACGTTTCTCCAGTATATAAGTATGGAAGCCAGGGGGATATGTGTGTTTGCAACTAAAACTATTATTCAGGTTTATCTTTGCAGTTGTGAGGGATGTATCAGGCTATGCTGTTTTAATATCATCAGCCATTAATCAAAGTAACCAATATGCTCTGTTTCCAAGCCATCCCTAAAGAAAACAGAAAAGAAAAAAAGAAACAAAAATTTTCTTACTATAACTTGCTTTTTATGTAGATTTTTTCTAATTTTGAAAACATAACTGATCACAATTATTTTGTCTACTGGGTAGTTTTTATTTTGTTTATTAGAAATTAATAATTTGGTCATTATTCACAATTTTATAAATTAATAAACTGTCATTTATTCTACAGCAAACTCTTCTAGCTTTGGTCTATATCAATAAATTTAGTGAATCTCTTGACCCCGATTTTCTCTGGCAAACTTGAGTATCTTGGAACATGGAAATGTGAATAGCAAATAGTAAACCTTGATAACAGATGATAACTTTCTCTTTGAAAGTTGGGAGCAGTGAACTTACCAACAATACTTCTAACTTTTCTAATTTCAACACACCTATAAAGGTCATGGAATTTATAGGAGAGAAACAGGAAAGACACAGAAACAGCTGCCTGAAGCTTTGCACATATCTCAGAGAGGGATATCATGTTATCATTACAGTTCACTGTTTGCTGTTAAGGTTTCCACATTTCCAGATATTCAAGTTTGCCAGAGGAAATCAGGGTCGGGAGATTCACTAAATTCATTGACAAAGACCAAAGCTAGAAGAGCACACTGTAGAATAAATGGCAATTTATTGATTTAAAAATGTTAATAATGATCGATTTATTAATTATTAAAGTACTAATTTTAATGATGGACTACATGGAGAGGCTAGGATTTTAACTTATTCCACACATAACATTCTAAATTCTTAAGTAATTCATCATTAACATCAAAAACACATTGAGGGTTTACCACATTCTTTTATTTGTGTAGTGGCTTATTGAATCTCATAAAAATCTTCTGACATAGGAACTATGTGTTCCTACAGGTCAGGACACTGGTTTATAGAGTGGTTAGGCAAGCTTCCAAAACCACACAGCAAGCGAGGGGCAGAGATACAGTTTGTCCCAGGTGATCTGACTCCAGCGTCTGTACTTTCAACCACTATCCCCTGCCTCTGTGATGCCACAGTGTCCATTTAGTTGATGGCCTACAATGTGCTGGACACACTGCCAGATGCTGATCATGGAGCAGTGAAAGAGATTAATAACATCATTGTCCTTGTGAATTTCAGGCTAACATTTCTGAATGCTGAAGGAATTCATTTTTGAGTGAATTGTAATTTTAATGTTTTGATCTTATTATGTTATAAAATCTCCATCATCTTTACAAAAAGTAATTGCCCTGTGATTTTAAAATCTGAACATCTTCCAGGAAGCAGAACTCCAGGACTCATACAGGCCCAAGGCTTGGATGATGTCCTAGGTAAGGGCGTGATGGCAGGGAGTGAAAAGAGACTCACCTGGGATCCACAGTGTAACTTTCTAGGGAGGGGATGTTTCCTGAGAACACAATATGTTTGTGACAGAGGAGTGAGGTTAAGGCAGTCGACTTGTATTGGTTAAGGGTCCTCTAGAGAAACAGAACCAAAAAGAGAACCAATATATATTTATTATGAGAACTGGCTCATACAATTATAGAGGCCAAGAATTCTCACCATTGGCTGTCTGCAAGTCAGAGAACCAGGGAAGCCAGTGATGTCATTCAGTCTGAGTCCTGAGAATCTGGGGTGGGGGGTGATAGTGATGGTGAGAATGTGTCACTGGTATAAGGCCCAGAGTCCAAAGCCCTAAGAAACAAGAGCTTCTATGTCCATTGGCAGGAGAAGATGAAGTCTTGGCCTCAGAGGAGAGAGAGAATTTGCCCTTACTCTGCCTTTTGTTCTATTCAGGCCCTCAATGGCTTGGATGATGCCAGCCCTCATTAGTGAGGGTGAACCTTCTTTACTCAGTTTATTGATTCAAATAATAATCTTTTCTGGAGACATATCCAGAAATAATGTTTTTTACCCTCTATCTGGGTACCCTGTAACCCAGTCAAATAGTGCAAAATTAACAAGCACATTACCTAAATGACAAAACAGAGCCAGAGGCACATGTGATTCAGAGAAGCTATTGTTTGCTGCATGTTATGGGTGGCTATGACTTGGGATATGAGAAACATAGAGTTGATGGAGGCAGTATCCCAGCCTTGACACTGACCTGTTGGAATCTGAACATTCCACACTTTCATTGTTTCGTTGTTAAATAATATGGGAGAATGAATTTCCCTAGGCCTCTACTCTTCACTGATAAAGTTAAACCAGTACCATTTCCCTATTAATGGACACAACTTTCTTATTATAAAGCATTTATATTTATGATTTATGTTCTAAGGGGAATCAAAGTGGCTTACACATTGAAACCCATGATGAGGATAATAAAAAAGACCAAAAGACACATAAATGGAGTAGGTTGTGATGGATTACTGAAGTCAATTATAAAGCAGTTTGCCTTCACAAATTGCAATATGAGGGTACAATACAGAACCACCATCACAATAATCACAGTAGCCACCTTCAGCTGCTTTTGCCCTGAGGTTAAGTGGAAGTTCAGCTCCTCATTTTCTATTCTTACCTGACTTAGTGTTTTAGTCAGAGATAAGCACTCCCTTTGTTTCTATCTGAGGGCCCTCATATTTTGATAGCGGGTTAGTCAGAGGCTGTGTAGTATTTGTGATTCACACCAGTATTATTTCCAGCATTCATCTTCAATACTCATACATCCTGAGTTGTAGTTTCTATAAAATCGAAAAACCATTTCTACTGGATTTCTACATTCATTTCAAATGAATATTCATTGAAAACATAGAATCATTTTCTTTTAATGTTGCTATTCACTCTCATAATTCTTAGTAATATCTAAATATTAATGAATCCCAAATTTCTATCTCCAGTGCTGATCTCCCCTGAACTCAGATCAATATATCCACTTGCCTAATTGGCATTTCTGCTTGGTTGTATAGTAGACATCTAACTTAATATGTTCAACACAGAATCACTGATTTTCCTCCTCTAACTACACTCCTTCACGTTGTCCCCATCTCAGTGAGAAGAATCACTATTCACCTATTGTCCATTTGTGAGTTCTCCTTGATTTCTGTCTTTCTCATACACTTCTTTTGAGCATATCCCAAGATATATCCAGAATTGGAATTATTTTTTCTGTTTTTTCTGCTTTGCCACCATAGTCTAAGTTACCATCTTTTCTCAACTAAAGGATTCAGAGCTTCCAAACTGGTCCTTCTGTGAAATTCCATATTGACTTCCTACAGTCAGTTCTTTGCACAATAGCTCAAAGTCCTTAAAACTTTTCCTAATATATAATTAGATCAAATAAACATTCTTTATTACAACCTTTACTGTCCTTCTTGATCTGGTTTCTTCTCCAAATTTGTTCTCTACTGTGCTCCTTCTCTCTCATTCCTCTTCACACACACTAGCTGTCTTATAGTTTCTTAGAACGGCAAACTCACTGCCATTGCAGAACTTTGCCCTTGCTAACCCATTTTCCTGGAACGTTCCTCCCATAGATATTAACATGGTTGATTTTATCACTTCATTTAAGTCCTGGCACAAATGTCATTTTATCAGAGATGCCATCCCTGCCCTTCCAGATCTAAATTGCCCCTTCAACCTTTTTCTTTTTCTGTTTCTGTACCATGCTCAGTTTTTTTTTCATAGCACCTATCACCACACACACACACACACACACACACACGTGTATATGTGTATATATATATATGTTAATCTTCTGTCTCCTTCGCTGAAATATGAGCTCCATGAGGGAAGAGTCTTTGTCTTCTCTGATGGGTCCATTGGGCCTCAAACAGAGCTTGGCATTTAGTAGGCGCTCAGTAAATATTTGTGGAACTACAAACATACATACATAAATTATCTGGGGGAAGATTATGTGGCTATGAACTAACCATGTCTTCACTCCTGACTCCTCACCATTAGAATTCCTTCCCTAGTTAATACCATACTTAAATCATACATTTCAGTCACAGTAGCGAGATGATGGAAAGAAAAAAAAAAACAGGGGCAACCAACTTTTAGTTATTTTGAATGAGAAGTTTTGAGTGAAGACTAGGAGAAAAGCAATTGATTTCTGTGCACAAATGGAAGCACCAGCCATTAAACAAGTGTCTCTCCAGGCCCCTTTGTCTCAGATGAAACAGCTGGAGGGGCACTCCCAACACCAGAGAACATTTAAACCTTTCCCATGCTTTGCTCTCTGCCCAGCATAGTCCATTCCTTTCTACCTTCCCCCTGCCAGAACATGTGGATTGTGAGGGAGCTATTCAGATATCATTAAGTTTCTTTAGATGCCCTATAAATCCAGGATAAAAGGAAGCAGGAACACACGGGCTGTTTTTGAATCATGAAGTGTGTTGTATTTCTGCTGGCCTAGGCATCAGGTTGATGCAGTGCTCACTCTTCATCTTCGTTTGTGACCCTGTTGAAAATTGTGTAAGCTTCTCCCTTTTTCAAGATGTGTATGGTGCCTCTTCCTTCCTTTTCATGCACTCAACCCAGTCAACTAAGCCACATGCCTTCCATTATCCCAAGGGACATGCTACAATGATAACAGACTACGTAACCTTGAGCTGGCTCCAATCTTTATCAGGTAACATCTCTTGATGATCACACTGTGGAAGGGTCATTGGTTAGAAGATAATAGTTTCTGACACATTATCCTTAAGTTACCTGTGGGTCACTTCCTAGTTGTGAAGAATGGTGTGCACGCATGCATACACAAACACACACACACACAGAATAAGACAGAGTCTCTAATCTCCTATGATTAATTTCTGCCCATGCTGATATTGGCTGCCACTGCTTCAAGAATCAAAATCTGGAAAGGTGAAGATGTGTTTTTATACATTTTTCAATGGTCTATGAGAGCTAATGAATGTTAAACAAATGTGGCCTAACCTTGATCTTGGATCCTATAAAAGAATCCTGGTTCCATATTTATCTCCATCCATATTGTATTTTATATTGGCATTAGATCATTAGAATCAACTTTGAATATTTAAAAAGTAACAGTAATATTGCCTATATTGAACAGTTGGCTTAACTATTTTGTTTGCTTTATTTTCAAAAGTGCATTATGCCTATGGTAGTTATATGCATTATCTATAAATAAAACTTTAAGAGAATATATTAAACACACTTATAGCAGAATTAGAGTTAAAAAGCATAGCTTGGAGGTAAAATTTACTGGAAATAATTGGGAAAATAATTTATTAAGAATAACAAAGAAAATAATTGCTAATGTGTGTAATACATTGCAGGTTGTGAATCACTTTCTCATATAATATGTCCTTTAGTTCTTATAACAATGTTGTAACATTTATGGTGAGCTCTATTTTATGATGAAGAAAATGAAATTGAAAGAGATTAAGTGATTTTCCCCAAATGACTCTCAGAACCAGGAACCCAGCCAAGGTCTTCTGGTAACTGCTCTTTATACTCCCATGGTCTAGGTGAAAAGAGGTTACATGCATATTAAAAGGTTCATGATGCATAAGTAAGAGCAGTGTAAAATATTGGTAAATAGCATAGCAATAGTCACATGGTCTATGTGAAAATAAGAGTTCATGACACATAATTAAGAGCAGTGTAAAATATTGTTAAATAGCATAGCAATAATTTCCATTGTTTTTCCACTTGTAGGCAGAAAAATACAACATTGCGTTTTCAAGCAAATGTTATAATTTTGCTTTGTGGAATAAAGATAAAGAATATATATTTAAAAAGCTATACATTATTGAACCACTCTTTGGACATAGACAAATTATATTATTTTAAAAGTTATTTTTATTATTTCTATGTTTTATTTTATTATCTAAGGAATAGAACTATGTTCATACTATCTTGGCTTATTTATTTAGATTGCTCACGTAACAAAACTTTTAAAATTGCAGTCAATTTTGCCAAACATAGAAAAAAATTAGTTAAGTGTGCTGTTCAATGTAGGTAATATTATTGTTACTTTTTAAATATTCTAAGTTGATACTAACTTATCTAATGCCAATATAAAATAGAATATGGATGGAGACAAATATGGAACCAGGATTCTTGGGTGATTAACATTGGCTCTTTGTTTCTTATGCAAATTTCTGTAGCTGGCTTGAATTTCTCTTCAGAAAATGGGTTTTCCTTTGCTATTGCATCATCAGGCTGCAAATTTTCCAAACTTTTATGCTCTGCTTCCTCTTGAATGCTTTGCCACTTAGAAATTTCTTCTGCCAGATACCCTAAGTCATCTCTCTCAAGTTCAAAGTTTCACGGATCTCTAGGGCAGGGGCAAAATGCTGCCAGTCTCTTTGCTGAAGCATAACAAGAGTTACCTTTGCTCCAGTTCTCAACAAGTTCCTCATCACCATCTGAGACCACCTCAGCCTGGACCTTATTGTCTGTATCAGTATCAGCATTTTGGTCAAAGCCATTCAACAAATCTCAAGGAAGTTCCAAACTTTCCCACGTCTTTCTGTCTTCTGAGCCCTCCAAGTCTCTAGGAAGTTCCAAACTTTCTTACATTTTCCTGTCTTCTTCTGAGCCCTCCAAATTGTTCCAACCTCTGCCTGTTACCCAGTTCCAAAGCTGCTTCCACATTTTCGAGCATCTTCATAGCAGCACTCCCGGTACCAGTTTACTGTATTAATGACATAGTCAAGACTGGGTAGTTTCTAAAGGAAAGAGGTTTAATTGACTCACAGTTCCACCTGGCTGGGGAGGCCTCAGGAAACTTACAATCATGGCAGATGGGGAAGCAAACATGTCCCTCTTCACATGGTGGCAGCAAGGAGAAGTGCCAAGCAAAAGGGGGAAAAGCCCCTTTTAAAACCATCAAATCTTGTGAGAACTCATTGACTTATCACAAGAACAGCAGCATGGAGGTAACCATCCCTGTGATTCAATTAGCTCCCGCCGCATCCTTCCCATGACACATGGGGATTATGAGAACTACAATTCAAGATGAGATTTGGGTGGCTACACAGCCAAGCCATATTAATGACTAAAGCCTTGAACCCCTCAAATTCATCCATGAGGGTTGGAATCAACTTCTTCCAAACTTCTATTAATGTTGAAACTTTGACCTCCTCTCATGAATCCTGAATGTTCTTAATGGCACTAGAATAAAAAGGAAAATCTTCATTTGCAGAAGGTTTTCAATTTACTTTGCCTAACTCCTTCATATAAATTATTATCTATGTAATCTATAAGTCATAAAATATACTTTTTAAAAATAATAAGAGCTGAAAGTTGAATTACTCCTTGATCCATGGGCTGCAGAATGGTTGTTGTGTTAGCAGGCATAAAAACAACATTAATTTCCATTAACATCTCCATCAGAGCTCTTGGGTTACAGGAACCTTGTAAATGAGCAGAAATATTTTGAAAGGAATCCTTTTTTCTGAGCAGTAAGTCACAATAGTGGGCTTAAAATATTCAGTAAACTGTGCTGTAAACAGATGTGCTATCATTCAGGCTTTGTTGTTGCATTTATAGAGCACAGGCAGAGTAGATTTAGCATGATTCTTGAGGTCCTTAGGACTTTTGCAATGGTAAATAAGTCTTGGCTTCAACTTGTTACCAGCTGCATTAGCCTCTAACAGGAGAGTCAGCCTATCATTTGAAGTTTTGAAGCCAGGCATTGACTTCTGTCTAGCTATGGAAGTTATATTTGGCATCTTATTCTAATATAAAGCTGTTGTATCTAATTAAAAAATCTGTTGTTTAGGGTAGCCACCTTCATCAATGATCTTAGCTAGATCTTCTGGATCACTGGCTGCAGCTTCTATATCAGCACTTGCTGCTTCATTTTACACTTTCATGTTATAGAGATGGCTTCTTGCCTTAAACCTCATGAACTAACTTCTGCTGGTTTCCAGTTTTTCTTCTGCAGCTTCCTCACCTCTCTCAGCCTTCATACAAGTGAAGAGAGCTTTGGGGAATTTTGTGGCTGTTTTGATCTATCCTGACCACTCAATATCTGCAGTAAGGATGTTTCTCTTTCTTATCATTTATATGTTTATTGGAGTAGCATTTTTAGTTTCCTTCAAGAACTTTTCCTTTGCATTGACAACTTGGCTAATTGTTTAGGGCAAGAGGCTTAGCTTTCATCCTGTTTTGACTTTTGGCATGCCTTCTTCCTCCACTAAGCTGAATCATTTCTAGCTTTTGATTTAAAGCGAGAGACATTTGGCTCTACCTTTCACTTGAATACTTAGAAGCCATTGTAGGGTTACTAATTGGCCTAATTTCAATATTGTTGTGTATGAAAGAATAGGGAGGCTGGAAGAAAGGGAGAGAGATGGGGGAATGGCCAGTGAATTGAGCAGTCAGAACACATATAACATTATTGATTAAGTTCTCCATCTTATATGGATGTGAATTGTGGCACCCCCAAAACATCAAAGATGACTGATCACAGATCACCATAACAGATACGATAACAACGAAATAGTTGGAAATATTGTGAGAACTACCCAAATGTGACACAGAGACATGAAGTGAGCATATGTTATTGGAAAAATTGTGTTGATAGCCTTGCTCCACTCAGAGTTCCCACAAACCATCAATTTGCAGAAACCAAAATTACCGTAAAGCCCAATAGAGTAAAGCCCAATAAAACAAGATATGTCTATATTTGTTTCTCCCAATCTACCACTACTTTTATTTTTTTAACTCTGTACTTGATAACAAAAGCATAATTTTTCAACAAATAAAATTTATAAAGTAATTATTCTGTGCTCAAAATCTTTGCAGATTTTTTCATTTATTCTTCATACTAAACTTATTGATGAGTGATTATGATTATCTCTACTTTATAGTTGAAAATACTGGGGTAGAGAGAATTTATATAATATACCCACCTTGGCAGAGCCAAGATTCAAATAAAAGTCTGTTTAACTCAAACTGAGAAGCCTACAGAGGTGAGAGAGTAGATCTGGGCAGCTGCAAGTGCCACTCTGTTCTCATTGAATATTGTGCAGAAATGAAATTCCTGAGTTACACATCTTACCATTTTTAAGGGAATTCAGATTTTAATGTTAATTCTTCATTTTTAAATTTTTTTCTCATATTTTTCAACATTTCACAAATCAAAAAACAGTGAGTGTGGACCATTAAAATCTGTACTATAATGTTGATGACATTTAACCTTTCTAGAGCAGTAGAGAAGGCAAGAAGAATAAGGATGAAGGAAACTTTGCAGATATTTTAAATACACCATGTGAAGTATTTTCAAAAGTCTAAAAGAACTTCAAGGAAAAATGTATTAAGCACATGCTATATGTAAAGTACATTATTATGATTTTTTCCAGGAACAGGATCATAAGCTGTAATGACCTTTTATCCATTATCTGCCATTTTGGATCCACTTCAGTTCTGTTCAATAAACATTTATGGAATGTTACCCATTTACTCTGTGCCTTGAACTAGGTAATATTTATTGTTTGCCTGTTACTAATTTGCTTAACATTCCACCAACCCTCTTTTCTTTCCACTACCTACTCTTGGAGTGTCTGTCAGTTAAGGTTTCTTAGGAGGTACCTTCTGGAAGTTCTCCAGTGTCAGTCTTTTTTGTCCTGGCTTATAGGATTTCTGGGCTCTGTCAGGGAGATTGTGGAATTCACCAACAAGGTAATCTGGGATCAAATTTTGAAGGGTAATGATAAAGAATTTAGGTAGTAAGGGACCATTTAAAGATTTTAAGCAAAGGAGAAACATGGTGAGAACTACACTTAAAAAGATGACTCTGGGTCACTTTGCAAAATACAGTGAACTGTAGATAAGGCTGAAGGCAAGATCCCAGTCCTGAGGCCATGATAATAATTTAGAGGGAGATAATTAAAAGCCCAGCAGAGATAACAGCAAATAGGGTCAAGATTTAAGAGATTTTTGTAAATAGAATTTACATACTTGTTGGATATGAATAATAAGGGTTATAATCCAATACTTACTTATTTTCTTGAACATATGATTTCCACTTTGGCCAATAAGACTCTTTCAGTCAGCTCCTGTTTTTCAGTTTGTTTTTGTTTTGACATACCCCCATCATTGTGTGTGTGTGTGTGTGTGTGTGTGTGTGTGCATTTCCTCATTTTCTGGTATTATAAGATACTCCCAGCTGATCTTATATATTTCCTGCTCTAGTCCTAGAATGAGTTATTTTTCCAAGATGACCCTTATTGAAGACTGGTGTTAGAAACCAAAAGCTGGGTGTTAGATGTGCCCATTGCTACTGAGGTGTCATTGCTTTAGGCCCTGTCAACTGACAGTGCAAGAAAATATGTGTGTGTATACTAACCTATGGATACATGTATGTATGCATGTATATACACATATATACATGTGTGCTTATACATGTGTATATTTCTATGTAAATATATATATTTACATATGTAACTATATGCATCTATATTCAGCTAAATATGAACTCACACTAATGTCCCCAATTCTAATCCATTACCCCATGGATCATTCTAGCCTTCTCTTCTTATCTTCAACCTCCCACTAAAACAGTGAAAAAATTGGGCTTTTAGCATTCTCCATCTATTTACTTAATTGTTCAATTCCAGTACAGTTGTATAGCAGTATCAGAATTGCTAACATTGCTAACATGGAACAATACTTATCAACTAGAGTACAGTGCTTATGTACAGTTTCTTTTTCCTTTAGTCTTCCAGACTACTCATTTCCAAAACTGCTTATGTCAGAACGTTTTCTGATCACTCTCTTTAGTTAAGTTGTTTCATACATCTATAATACAGTTAGACTCTCTTGTCACAGTCTGCATTATTTACTGGGCTCTTCCAACCTCCTAAATGATATTATTAAAAAATTCATATATTAAGGCTTACTCTTTATACTGTAATATTCTGTGGATTTTTATAAATGCATAATTTCATGTATCCACCATTATAGTATTATACAGAATAGTTTCACCACCCTAAAACATCCCCTGTAATTTCCCTACTCAACCTTCCTCTCCTCACCCCTCACTCCTGATAACCACTGATATTTTACTGTCGCTATAGTTTTGGTTTGTTCAGAATACCGCATAAATTTAATCATAAAGTCTAGGAACATTTCTGACTGACTTCTTTCAGTTAACATATGCCCTTAAGGTCCATCCACTTTTTTTTGTTCATTTCCTTGTATTGTTAAATAATATTTCTTTTTATGGATGTATCACGGTTTATTTATCCATTCACCTACTCAAGAACATCTTGGTTACTTCCAATCTTTGGCAATTAAGAACAAGACATACATAAATATTAATGAGAAGATTTTTATATGGATATAAGCTTTCAAATCAGTTGGGTTAATATCTAGTAGAATGATTACTAGAACATAAAGTAAAATTATGTTTAGTTTTCTAAGAATATTCACAATATAAGAATTCTTAAAAATTGAGGGTATACTCTACACAGTTTCTCCCAAAGGTAACATTGCAAAACAATCCTAAAATATCACAACCAGGATATCACCATCCATACAATCTTATTCAGATTTCACCAGTTCTATTTGTACTTATTTGAGTTATTACTTTTTTAAGAGTGTAACCAAAGAAAAAGTAAATTATTGAATCTCACTCTCTATAAAATGGAGAGTAATGATATAAACCTAGCTAGGTTCTTGTAAAGATTAAATGAGCTAATGTTTACCACAGTACTTGGCGTATAGTGACCATTTATTAATGGAATCATTGCATGTTTCATGCCATCACTGTGACCTAACTTCTGTCCTTATTTGCCTCTTAGCCTTAGCCTTTGCTAACTTCCCTGGGATTTCACCAAACCCTGTCCTATTCCTCAGCTTCCGTAAGAGCCCGTATCTCTATTCCTTACTCTTCTCTATGGCACCAAATATGTACAAATGGTCTCTTCTTATTTGCAATCCCCAGAAATAAACTAGAATTGAAGAAGGCTATTCCCACTCAAAAGGTAAAGGAAGGGCTGGAGAAGATGGAGCCTCTTTCTGATGAAGTCCTAGCAGGCAAAGATGATTTTTTTTTCTCATCTCTATTTTAAAGTTCTATGGAATTTTCATGATAAATTCTTTAATAAATGGAGGTAAGGTCATATGATACTGCACTATTAGAATGATATTTCATTCACATGAAGGCTAAGTAAAGTAGGCTTTTAGAGTCTTGCCTGAGATCCATTTATTATATTCATTCTAAAAACAATATTAATTTAGCACTTACTATGTGTTCATTTTCATATGGACATTTAACTGGGACTTTATAGATACTGTTATGTAGACACTACTAATAGTTTATAGACACTGCCTATTAATATTTAGATTGTTATGTAGAGACAGAATAGTTCCAGATAGCTTCTTAGAAGAAAAGTGAGCAGATGAGTAGCAATAGCTATGATAAAGTGTATAAAATAAGTCTCTATTTTCATGAAACTTCCACATTCTTTTTTTTTTTAAATTATACCTTAAGTTTTAGGGTACATGTGCACATTGTGCAGGTTAGTTACATATGTATACATGTGCCATGCTGGTGCACTGCACCCACTAACTCGTCATCTAGCATTAGGTATATCTCCCATTGCTATCCCTCCCCCCTCCCCCCACCCCACAACAGTCCCCAGAGTGTGATATTCCCCTTCCTGTGTCCATGTGATCTCATTGTTCAATTCCCACCTATGAGTGAGAATATGCGGTGTTTGGTTTTTTGTTCTTGCGATAGTTTACTGAGAATGATGTTTTCCAATTTCATCCATGTCCCTACAAAGGACATGAACTCATCATTTTTTATGGCTGCATAGTATTCCATGGTGTATGTGCCACATTTTCTTAATCCAGTCTATCATTGTTGGACATTTGGGTTGGATCCAAGTCTTTGCTATTGTGAATAATGCCGCAATAAACATACGTGTGCATGTGTCTTTATAGCAGCATGATTTATAGTCCTTTGGGTATATACCCAGTAATGGGATGGCTGGGTCAAATGGTATTTCCAGTTCTAGATCCCTGAGGAATGGCCACACTGACTTCCACAATGGTTGAACTAGTTTACAGTCCCACCAACAGTGTAGAAGTGTTCCTATTTCTCCACATCCTCTCCAGCACCTGTTGTTTCCTGACTTTTTAATGATTGCCATTCTACCTGGTGTGAGATGGTATCTCATTGTGGTTTTGATTTGCATTTCTCTGATGGCCAGTGATGATGAGCATTTTTTCATGTGTTTTTTGGCTGCATAAATGTCTTCTTTTGAGAAGTGTCTGTTCATGTCCTTCGCCCACTTTTTGATGGGGTTGTTTGTTTTTTTCTTGTAAATTTGTTTGAGTCCATTGTAGATTCTGGATATTAGCCCTTTGTCAGATGAGTAGGTTGCAAAAATTTTCTCCCATTGTGTAGGTTGCCTGTTCACTCTGATGGTAGTTTCTTTTGCTGTGCAGAAGCTCTTTAGTTTCATTAGATCCCATTTGTCAATTTTGTCTTTTGTTGCCATTGCTTTTGGTGTTTTAGACATGAAGTCCTTGCCCATGCCTATGTCCTGAATGGTAATGCCTAGGTTTTCTTCTAGGGTTTTTATGGTTTTAGGTCTAACATTTAAGTCTTTAATCCATCTTGAATTGATTTTTGTATAAGGTGTAAGGAAGGGATCCAGTTTCAGCTTTCTCCATATGGCTAGCCAGTTTTCCCAGCACCATTTATTAAATAGGGAATCCTTTCCCCATTGCTTGTTTTTCTCAGGTTTGTCAAAGATCAGATAGTTTTAGATATGCGGCGTTATTTCTGAGGGCTCTGTTCTGTTCCATTGATCTATATCTCTGTTTTGGTATCAGTACCATGCTGTTTTGGTTACTGTAGCCTTGTAGTATAGTTTGAAGTCAGGTAGTGTGATGCCTCCAGCTTTGTTCTTTTGGCTTAGGATTGACTTGGCGATGCGGGCTCTTTTTTGGTTCCATATGAACTTTAAAGTAGTTTTTTCCAATTCTGTGAAAAAAGGCATTGGTAGCTTGATGGGGATGGCATTGAATCTGTAAATTACCTTGGGAAGTATGGCCATTTTCACGATATTGATTCTTCCTGCTCATGAGCATGGAATGTTCTTCCATTTGTTTGTATTCTCTTTTATTTCCTTGATCAGTGGTTTGTAGTTCTCCTTGAAGAGGTCCTTCACATGCCTTGTAAGTTGGATTCCTAGGTATTTTATTCTCTTTGAAGCAATTGTGAATGGGAGTTCACTCATGATTTGGCTCTCTGTTTGTCTGTTGCTGGTGTATAAGAATGCTTGTGATTTTTGTACATTGATTTTGTATCCTAAGACTTTGCTGAAGTTGCTTATCAGCTTAAGGAGATTTTAGGCTGAGACAATGGGGTTTTCTAGATATACAATCATGTCATCTGCAAAGAGGGACAATTTGACTTCCTCTTTTCCTAATTGAATACCCTTTATTTCCTTCTCCTGCCTAATTGCCCTGGCCAGAACTTCCAACACTATGTTGAATAGGAGTGGTGAGAGAGGGCATCCCTGTCTTGTGCCAGTTTTCAAAGGGAATGCTTCCAGTTTCTGCCCATTCAGTATGATATTGGCTGTGGTTTTGTCATAGATAGCTTTTATTATTTTGAAATATGTCCCATCAATACCTAATTTATTGAGAGTTTTTAGCATGAAGGGTTGTTGAATTTTGTCAAAGGCTTTTTCTGCATCTATTGAGATAATCATGTGGTTTTTGTCTTTGGCTCTGCTTATATGCTGGATTACATTTATTGATTTGTGTATATTGAACCAGCCTTGCATCCCAGGGATGAAGCCCACTTGATCATGGTGGATAAGCTTTTTGATGTGCTGCTGGATTCGGTTTGCCAGTATTTTATTGAGGATTTTTGCATCAATGTTCATCAAGGATATTGGTCTAAAATTCTCTTTTTTTGTTGTGTCTCTGCCTGGCTTTGGTATCAGAATGATGCTGGCCTCATAAAATGAGTTAGGGAGGATTTCCTCTTTTTCTATTGATTGGAATAGTTTCAGAAGGAATGGTACCAGTTCCTCCTCATACTTCTGGTAGAATTCAGCTGTGAATACATCTGGTCCTGGACTCTTTTTGGTTGGTAAGCTATTGATTATTGCCACAATTTCAGATCCTGTTATTGGTCTATTCAGAGATTCAACTTCTTCCTGGTTTAGTCTTGGGAGAGTGTATGTGTTGAGGAATTTATCCATTTCTTCTAGATTTTCTAGTTTATTTGCGTAGAGGTGTTTGTAGTATTCTCTGATGGTAGTTTGTATTTCTGTGGGATCGGTGGTGATATCCCCTTTATCATTTTTTATTGCGTCTATTAGATTCTTCTCTCTTTTTTTCTTTATTAGTCTTGCTAGCGGTCTATCAATTTTGTTAATCCTTTCAAAAAACCAGCTCCTGGTTTCATTAATTTTTTGAAGGGTTTTTTGTGTCTCTATTTCCTTCAGTTCTGCTCTGATTTTAGTTATTTCTTGCCTTCTGCTAGCTTTTGAATGTGTTTGCTCTTGCTTTTCTAGTTCTTTTAATTGTGATGTTAGGGTGTCAATTTTGGATCTTTCCTGCTTTCTCTTGTGGGCATTTAGTGCTATAAATTTCCCTCTACACACTGCTTTGAATGTGTCCCAGAGATTCTGGTATGTTGTGTCTTTGTTCTCGTTGGTTTCAAAGAACATCTTTATTTCTGCCTTCATTTCGTTATGTACCCAGTAGTCATTCAGGAGCAGGTTGTTCAGTTTCCATGTAGTTGAGCAGTTTTGAGTGAGTTTCTTAATCCTGAGTTCTAGTTTGATTGCACTGTGGTCTGAGAGATAGTTTGTTATAATTTCTCTTCTTTTACATATGCTGAGGAGAGCTTTACTTCCAAGTATGTGGTCAATTTTGGAATAGGTGTGGTGTGGTGCTGAAAAAATGTATATTCTGTTGATTTGGGGTGGAGAGTTCTGTAGATGTCTATTAGGTCCACTTGGTGCAGAGCTGAGTTCAATTCCTGGGTATCCTTGTTGACTTTCTGTCTCGTTGATCTGTCTAATGTTGACAGTGGGGTGTTAAAGTCTCCCATTATTAATGTGTGGGAGTCTAAGTCTCTTTGTAGGTCACTCAGGACTTGCTTTATTAATCCGGGTGCTCCTGTGTTGGGTGCATATATATTTAGGATAGTTAGCTCTTCTTGTTGAATTGATCCCTTTACCATTATGTAATGGCCTTCTTTGTCTCTTTTGATCTTTGTTGGTTTAAAGTCTGTTTTATCAGAGACTAGGATTGCAACCCCTGCCTTTTTTTGTTTTCCGTTTGCTTGGTAGATCTTCCTCCATCCTTTTATTTTGAGCCTATGTGTGTCTCTGCACATGAGATGGGTTTCCTGAATACAGCACACTGATGGGTCTTGACTCTTTATCCAATTTGCCAGTCTGTGTCTTTTAATTGGAGCATTTAGCCCATTTACATTTAAAGTTAATATTGTTATGTGTGAATTTGATCCTGTCATTATGATGTTAGTTGCTTATTTTGCTCGTTAGTTGATGGAGTTTCTTCCTAGTCTCAATGGTCTTTACATTTTGGCATGATTTTGCAGTGGCTGGTACGGGTTGTTCCTTTCCATGTTTAGCACTTCCTTCAGGAGCTCTTTTAGGGCAGGCCTGGTGGTGACAAAATCTCTCAGCATTTGCTTGTCTGTAAAGTATTTTATTTCTCCTTCACTTATGAAGCTTAGTTTGGCTGGATATGAAATTCTGGGTTGAAAATTCTTTTCTTTAAGAATGTTGAATATTGGCCCCCACTCTCTTCTGGCTTGTAGGGTTTCTGCCAAGAGATCCACTGTTAGTCTGATGGGCTTCCCTTTGAGGGTAACCCGACCTTTCTCTCTGGCTTCCGTTAACATTTTTTCCTTCATTTCAACTTTGGTGAATCTGACAATTATGTGTCTTGGAGTTGCTCTTCTCGAGGAGTATCTTTGTGGTGTTCTCTGTATTTCCTGAATCTGAACGTTGGCCTGCCTTGCTAGATTGGGGAAGTTCTCCTGGATAATCTCCTGCAGAATGTTTTCCAACTGGGTTCCATTCTCCACTTCACTTTCAGGTACACCAATCAGACGTAGATTTGGTCTTTTCACATAGTCCCATATTTCTTGGAGGCTTTGCTCATTTCTTTTTGTTCTTTTTTCTCTAAACTTCCCTTCTTGCTTCATTTCATTCATTTCATCTTCCATCGCTGATACCCTTTCTTCCAGTTGATTGCATCAGCTCCTGAGGCTTCTGCATTCTTCACGTAGTTCTCGAGCCTTGGTTTTCAGCTCCATCAGCTCCTTTAAGCACTTCTCTGTATTGGTTATTCTAGTTATACATTCTTCTAAATTTTTTTCAAAGTTTTCAACTTCTTTGCCTTTGGTTTGAATGTCCTCCCATAGCTCAGAGTAATTTGATCGTCTGAAGCCTTCTTCTCTCAGCTCATCAAAGTCATTCTCCATCCAGCTTTGTTCCATTGCTGGTGAGGAACTGCGTTCCTTTGGAGGAGGAGAGGCGCTCTGGTTTTTAGAGTTTCCAGTTTTTCTGTTCTGTTTTTTCCCCATCTTTGTGGTTTTATCTACTTTTGGTCTTTGATGATGGTGATGTACAGATGGGTTTTTGGTGTGGATGTCCTTTCTGTTTGTTAGTTTTCCTTCTAACAGCAGGACCCTCAGCTGCAGGTCTGTTGGAATACCCTGCCGTGTGAGGTGTCAGTGTGCCCCTGCTGGGGGGTGCCTCCCAGTTAGGCTGCTCAGGGGTCATGGGTCAGGGACCCACTTGAGGAGGCAGTCTGCCCGTTCTCAGATCTCTAGCTGTGTGCTGGGAGAACCACTGCTCTCTTCAAAGCTGTCAGACAGGGACATTTAAGTCTGCAGAGGTTACTGCTGTCTTTTTGTTTGTCTGTGCCCTGCCCCCAGAGGTGGAGCCTACAGAGGCAGGCAGGCCTCCTTGAGCTGTGGTGGGCTCCGCCCAGTTGGAGCTTTCTGGCTGCTTTGTTTACCTAATCAAGCCTGGGCAATGGTGGGCGCCCCTCCCCCAGGCTCGCTGCCGCCTTGCAGTTTGATCTCAGACTGCTGTGCTAGCAATCAGCGAGACTCCGTGGGCGTAGGACCCTCCAAGCCAGGTGCAGGATATAATCTGGTGGTGTGCCGTTTTTTAAGCCCGTCGGAAAAGCGCAGTATTCGGGTGGGAGTGACCCAATTTTCAAGGTGCCGTCCGTCACCCCTTTCTTTGACTCGGAAAGGGAACTCCCTGACCCCTTGCGCTTCCCAAGTGAGGCAATGCCTCGCCCTGCTTTGGCTTGCACACGGTGCATGCACCCACTGACCTGCGCCCACTGTCTGGCATTCCCTAGTGAGATGAACCTGGTACCTCAGATGGAAATGCAGAAATCACCGTCTTCTGCGTCGCTCACACTGGGAGCTGTAGACCAGAGCTGTTCCTATTCGGCCATCTTGGCTCCTCTCTGCTTCCACATTCATTTTTATGTGGAATATCGTTCTGGAGTTTAAACAACTGATTGCCCTTTCAGCATATTACCCCACTGTATCATTTGGAAGACTCTTGCTTTAAAGGAAATGTAATGGCCAAGTTTGGGTAATAAAGGACAAACAACTTGGCATATGATATTCATGGGAAGACAGGAAAAACTAAAGATTCTTTCTCTAAAAGATCTTTAGTTTTAAAAATAGAACAGGGCTTAGGAATATTCCAGGATGATGAGGCCCAAATAACTCAAAGACTTAAAAATAGCATAAGGGGCTGGGTGCGATGGCTCACATCTATAATCTCAGTGCTTTGGGAGGCCAAGGTGGGAGGATTGCTTGAACCCAGGAGTTTGAGGCTGTAATGAGCTATGATCATGACACTGCACTCCAGCTTATGTGACAAATGAGACCCCATTTCAAAAAAAATGGCCAAAAGAAAAGCCAGTTTTCTAGTATGTAAATTGTAACTTAAGAGTGGGGTATGTGTGATAGAGGGCATGAGAAGTGAGAAGATATTCTAGGTAATTCAAAGCAGCTACTTAACATGATGGTTCATTTGAAAATAAATGCTGATACCAGCAAGGGGTCTAAGTCAAAAGTTGAAGAAGGAAGAAAGGGGCAAGTCGGAATTCCCTAGTAGACACTGGGTAAACTTAGCAGAGTTGTTGAAAGGGATACACATGAAATCATTGTAATTTTATGAGATCCTTTGACCTTAAGAGGATAAAATAGTGATTAAAAGGGATCAACTCAACTTGGAACTAGAAGAATTTAGGGTAAATTATCCAGAAGAAAAAGAAAACTAAGGCCAAGCTATGTGAACATATTTATGGGCCAAAGGGAAATATTTAAACCTGGATGGAACTAACCCAAAAAACTGGGCTTAATTCATTTATGCATTTAGAGTTTGAGTCTTTTTACATGTAATAAACTGTGCTAAAGACTGAAGAGTTGTACATATTAATGAAACATAATCCTCATCCTTAATTCTTATATTATTAATAAACTATTCCCTATCTTTGAAACAATGTTGAAGTTGTTATATCACTATAACTCATTCTATCCTTTATTCTAGGAGATTATCTATGTACTCCTTTACACTATAGTGAAAAGTAGATGAGTATCTTACCTGTGTGAATTGTACTGCAGTGGACTGAACTAGAACAAAGGGAAGAAGCAATGAAGGCAGGCAGGTCACCCAGAATAAACTGTAGTAGGAGAAATCACTTTAATTTTACCCTTGGGTGGAAGCACTGAATGGTGAATAAGAGATATATTCTAGTGAAGATATAATAACTTATAATAGCTATTCTTTAAATACCCTGTGAGAGCAAACTTTTCTGCATTGACTTGGCACCTACCATGGTTAAGCCATGATGGACAAGTTGGGGTGCCATCTTGTGCTGTGCTCTGGTTTGTCTCAGTGGTTGCTTTTGGTCAGGAAATTACTCATTATATTTTAAAAGCAACGTAGGGGCTTAGTATTTAAACCTCTCTAGAATGGCAGACAGTTTAGCTGGAATGATATAAACTGGAACAAACGGCAGCCACTCTTCCTTGCTGCCTTGGTGTTGGCTCATTGGATTCCATGGTTCAGTGACTTACATCTGAACATTATGAAACTTTATCACAAAGAGTTTTATTCTGCTTTAAACCTGCAGATGCAAAGTAATTTAGTTCATATGCTGCAGTGATGCAAATCAAAACCCATAGTATTTTTATTAATTGCTGAAAGCAGACAGGGTTTCAGAAGCATAAAAATACCAGCACAGAACTATAGAAACACAAAATCTAAAGAGTAGGATTGGAAAGATGCCCAGCATTTTGGAAGTAAAAGATCTGCTTATACATGATTTTATAAATCTAGTTTTGCTGAAGCAAAATCAGCACAAGTAGTTTAAAATTTTAAAAATTCTTTGGCATAAGCTAAAGCTTCTTAATTCAAATCTTGACATTAAGCACCTTTTAACTTGTTTCTTACTTACAGTAAAAACTGATTTTCTTCCTGTTCAGTTTATGTTCCTACCCGCTGTCATTTTGGACAATTTCATTTTGGTCCCTAAGGTCTTCTCCCATAATAAACTGGAACCTTCCCAAATAGCTAAGGTCTAAGGCACTGTCTACCCTGCAGAAAATAAACAGTGCCTAGCACAGTAGTCAATCTAAAAGCCTCAAATAATCATAAAATAACTGAAATGCCAACCCTGACTTTTACTGATTAAAAGAAGGGAAATAGATAAAAATAAAAATATTTGCCAGTGCAGCAGTGAGGCAGATATCATTATATATGTGATACTCACCCCTCCCATTGAACACAATGAAAGTGCTTATAGTTTCCCATCAATTCAGTGATGATAATGGTAACGTTCAGCACCGTGATGTAAATTGTCACTGTGTGGCTTGGGACTTAGTTATATTTGCAAAATTATACATCTAGAGGTAACAAGTTGCTAGTTGTTTCTACATAATCTTAGTTTATGTATTCACATGCAAAGTGACAATTATTATATCAACTATTCTGTTCTATATGGTATCTGTATGATTCTCTGCAAATTTTCTTTCTTATCTTGAGGTACTTTCACATCATATCCATCCAATATGGTAGGTTGTGTATCAAAAGTCATTGAAAACAACATCTCAGGCACCCGTTAACATATTGTGAGGCCCAATCTCTAGAGCTTTGGATTCAGGAATCTAGATGTTCCTCATGTGTTTTTGAAGTGACTCTGAGGCATATCTGCAAACCACACCTTGAAAGACTCTAAAATAGTAGATCTAAAAATGAGCTGCTGCTTCACATTTTTTAGGATGGTTACTGTAAAAAAACAGAAAGTAATGTGTTGACAAAGATGTGGAGAAACTGAGACCCTTGTGCCCTGTTTGCAGGAATGTAAAATGGGGTGGTAGCTATGGAAAACAGTATAGCAGTTCCTTAAGCCAGGGGTCCCCCTTTCCCCAGGGAACTAGTCTGTGGCCTGTTAGGAACTGGGCCTCAGAGGAGGAGGGGAGCAGCAGGCAAGGGAGCATTACATTATGATCTGAGCTCTGCCTCCTGTTGGATCAGTGGCAGGATTAGGTTCTCATAGGAGCACAGACCCTATAGTGAACTGCGATGCACGTGATCTAGGTTGCATGCTCCTTATGAGACTCTAATGCCTGCTGATCCAAGGTGGAACAGTTGCATCCCCAAACTATTCCCCTCCATTCTTTCCCTTACCCCAGGTCTGTCCCATCTGTTGAAAAATTGTCTTCCACGAAACTGGTCCCTGTTGCCAAAAAGTTTGAGGACTGCTGCCTTAAACTATTAAAAATAAAATGCTGTATCATCTAGCAATTCCACTTTTGGATATATGCCCAGAAGAACTGAAAGTAGTCTTGGAGAGATATTTTTGAACCCATGTTCATAGAAGCATTATTCACAATAGCCAAAAGGTGAAAGCAACTCAAGTGTCTGTCAACAGATGAATGGATAAAGAATTTCTGTTATACAATGGAACATTATTCAGCCTTAAAAAGAAAGGAAATTCTGACACATGCTACAACATTGATAAACCTTGAAAACATTTTGCTAAGTGAAGTAAGCCAGTCACAAAAAGATAAGTACTGTCTGATTCCACTCATATTAGGTACGCTGAGTAGTCAAAATCATGGAGGAGAAAGTAGAATGGTGGCTGCCAGGGGCTGGGGAGAGGTCATAATGAAGAGCTGTTATTTTATGGGCATAGAATTTCAGTTTTACAGACAAAAAAAGTTCTGGAGATTGGTTGCATAACAATGTGAATGTACTTAATACTACTTAATAATACTGATGTATACTTAAAAATAGATAAAAAGGTAAATTTTATGCTATGTATATTTTACTACAATTAAAAAAATAGCTGCTGCTGGGGCCATTGGTGACAGTACATTGAGGCACCAATGGGTGAACGGGCCATTGCCACTGTTCTCAAAAAACACTGGCTGTGAAAGGAAGTGGGGGTGGGTGGCAGTTTGAAGGTGGACAAAGATAAAAAGACTTCTTGGAATGACTTGAAAGAGACGCTAAACTGAAGGAAAGAACTCAATGGAGAGAGAAATGTTGATAATGCAAGCCATTTAAATATTATATAAAATATATTACATATGTTTGTAATTCACAAGTAAAACTTGGCAGCCAGCGGGTTCTCAGTATCTTGAATCCTTCAGTGTACACTCTGCATCAGAAAGTGAATTTGTTGAAATGTCTGATGGACTGTAACGTTTCATATTTCTTTCTTTTTTTTTTTTTTTTTTGAGACGGAGTCTCGTTCTGTCGCCCAGGCGGGAGTGCTGTGGCGCGATCTCCGCTCACTGCAAGCTCCGCCTTCCGGGTTCACGCCATTCTCCTGCCTCAGCCTCCCGAGTAGCTGGGACTACAGGCGCCCGCCACTGCGCCCGGCTAATTTTTTGTATTTTTAGTAGAGACGGGGTTTCACCGTGGTCTCGATCTCCTGACCTCGTGATCCTCCCGCCTCGGCCTCCCAAAGTGCTGGGATTACAGGCGTGAGCCACCGCGCCCGGCCAACGTTTCATATTTCTAAGCCATGTCAGTATCATGGTTAAAAGTCCTCATCTGGCTGGAATTATGCTAGCTCTGAATGCTTTGTTGGAAGTTTTCAGAAATGCCAAATGTAAAAGAGGTTCACATCACTGTTTTTGTACTGCACACCCCTATGAAATGGGTTATCACATTGATTCTATGACTAAAATGGCAACTAGTATTTCAAAATATAATAATCTTGACAATCCCACTATACTGCTGAGGATAAGGAAGACTGATTTTAATACTGGGACCTAGATTTAATTATGTCTTCTTCAGAGTTTAGAAATATTCTCATACTGAATCCTGTAGATTCTCCCATTCTTTTCACCAAATGGAACCACCTGGTTCCTGGGATCCTCTGGGCTCTGCAGATGTGGTCACTGGGACTGAGGTGTCGCCCAGTCCCACGATGCAGGTTTGCAACACCCGTGTGGCTATCTGAATCTCCAGTCTATTTTAGATAGAGAATATCCAAATAGGGCTCTATGCTTCAGCACCATTAGAACATAGAGAAATAAATGTCATTTTAAGTATGACACAGATTTCCATGAAAAATTTCAAAACATGCTTGAAACAGGACCGAGTAATATTTGAAAGGTAGCAATTCAGATTTTCAACATGTCAAATAAGCCTATTTCTGTGTGTATTTAAATCATTTAAATCGTGCAAATATCTTTTTCCCATTATAATTTACTTAATTTACCACATGTTAAAATTAATTAATCAAGCATCCTAATACTCAGCAAAAATAAAAACAACAACTAACTTGTCAATTGCGGGTAAAGGTGAGATATCCCCAATAAGTCTAGTGAATCCTAAAGAGGACTGAAGTTTCCTGACAGCTGTGTGGGTCTTTGCAAGAAGTCTACACTCTCTTCCCATCTATGACTGTAGAAGTGTCTGACATATGGTCTTTGTGTTGCTTAATTACACATTTCTTTTCCACTCCAGTTAACATATTTCACTTATTTGTCATTTCTAATATTTTAGCTAAAATTATGCCATTTTATTCCTTTCAGTTTGACTGATAGCATGAATCTTGATTGCTAGGAAAAAAAAATTCAGTCCTCTAAAGAAAGAATGAGGATCTAATCAGCAAAAATTCCTGAAAGAATTTGACATTCTCTTTGGGGAATGATTGGCTGCCCATAAAAGAGAGCATGTGTGAGAAACTTCCTTGAGTCTCTGCTATTTGATTAACTTGTAAAGGCTAAAATCAACTGACAAATTCAATTATACATTCAAATTGTATTTCTAAATTGGCTTAATTTTTTAAAGTGATGAATGAACCATAGGAGAAAAGTTCCATTACAATATGAACAAGCAGAAATAAGTCATACCATTAATACTATGCCTGCGCATACAAACTTTCCTATTTTTTTTTTTTTGATTAGCAGGGTCAGTTTAATGAACAGAAGTATCTGGCTCATAGGTCAGCCATGGTATTTACTTTCTAGGAGAAGAAAGCTGTTTAGGGTACAGAAGAGAATAAAAGAAAGATGTCTTTGGGAAAGTAAAACAAAACAAAACAAAAGAAAAAGAAACTCCTTCCTTTGGGACTGTTTCTATGCTAGCAAAGCAGATCATAAATAAAGAAAACTATTTGATATTTGTCTACAGAATGTTTCTAAAGGTAGAGAATTTGCTAATGGCTGCCTGGTAGGCACAATTCAGGAAGAAGTCATTGATGATTGCAAAAGACATTTCTGAATTAGAGTCCTATATAGTCATATAGTGATAAGTAACATGTTGCTAAACATTTGCCCCCTCTAGGGACTTAATGTACCATAGTCAGAAAAAAAAAGAAAAGAAACATTCCCTATATATTCTACCATTAAAGTTTGAACCAGTGTCAGCACTTGACTACAGTAAATCCCAATTTTATGGAATAGGTTGGGATAGAATGGTTACATAGAAATGGATTTTTACCACAAAATGGAAATTAGCAATTTATCCTAAGAATATTATGGAAAAAAACAGTCTATTTGACTAATGATAGATGATAAATCATACCAACATTTTTCCTTTTTTCTTTTATATCAATAAATTAGCAGACAGAAAAACTCAATAAAAATTACATTTAAACTCATAAGTATTATTTAAGTCTTCTTTACTAGTCAGTCACCTTCATTCGACAGAAATGACATGTTAAATTGAATTTTTTCTCTATTAACAAATATTATGAATTGTAGTTCATTTTTTTTTATTACTCAAATTTTACCTGGATTTTTTAGATATTGAAATTGACTTAGAAAGGAAGCACTCCAAATCTGCCATCTCTAAGGTGGCTGTGAAGATAGACACAGGATAGAAGATTCGGAAGATTTTTTAGTATTCTGCATAAGCGTCACTTTCAAGCACTTAACTTTCTGCCAGCACATGTTGCAAATGAAAAAAACCGAGGCTCAGAGAAGTTAAGCAGATGCATAATCACACAGTAAGTGTGGTGAGGGTGGGGTTTGATTGTGTGTAGACTGTGAAGTTGCAAAGATTGTGAATTTCTTCATAGGAAATTCTATGGGGAATATTAATCTTAGAAATATTAAAAGACAATGAACAAAAAGTTGTACACAAATGTTCATAGTCACATTGTTCCTAATAGACAAAAAGTGGGAGTAACCCAGTTGACCATCAACTGGTGAACAGATAAGCAAAATGTGACACATTCATACACTGGAACACGTTTGGCAATAAAAATGAATGAAATACTGATGCATGCTATGACATGAATGAACTTTGAAAATATTATGCTAAATAAAAGAAGCCAGTCACTAAAGACAACATGTCGTATGATTGCACTCAGACGAAAAGCACAGAGTAGGGAAATCTGTATATAAAGAAAGATTTGTAGTTGCCAGGGGATGGGAGAAGGGAGAGATGGGGAGAGATGGCGAATGGGTACAGGGTTTCTCTTTAGAGTAATAAAAATGTTCTAAACTTAGATTGTTGTGATGGTTGCACAATTGTGATTATACTAAAAAAATCATTGAATTCAACCTTTGTTTTGGTGAATTTCATAGTATGTGGAATTATACCTTGGTAAGATGTTAAAAAAAAGACAACGTGCAATGACTCTGTTGTTACATCACAGTGACCTCATGCTTTTTCTTCATTTTGTTCTGTTAATTAGATGATCCCTTAGAGATAAAACCATTTAACTCAGGGTTTTCTTTTGAATATGCCTGGGGATAACACCTCCTCCAGAATAGCAACTATTCTGCTCCCTTTTATTCTCTTGTTTTACGGAAAATATCCAGGAGAATAGGCATAGTGACCTACCAACGGGCAGAACCAGAGTGGGCTAAACTTTCAAGCTTATGAATCTTCAGAACACACAATTCACTCATTAAAGTAGGCCTTTAATGGTGGAATTACAGTCATCTTAGTTGAAGAGATTTGTTTTTTAATACAATGGCTGAACTAGTGTTATTCCTTTCACAATAATTACGAAGGGATGGTTTTTATTTACTCTGAAAATATGTCTACACATATTAAGGCTTATTATTGTTATAATTACTGTTATTGTCATTCTGGAATTATTTTTAAAACTTTTAATACTTTTTTCTGGAATAATAATACTAACTAATTATTTGGGGACAAATTTTGTTTTTTAGTTATGCCAAAAGTTATTTGAACTCAACACGAATGAATATGACCAGAAATCCCACTGAATAATGCCACTGGGATTCAACCATTGATACCTACCTGGGTTCTTCCAAAGGGAAATTTTTAATTATCTGGAGTAATTGTTGTGCAATTTATTTGATATTTCACATATATTTATTGAGTATCACCAATTGTCTTAGACAGTGGGAAAATGTTACATATATAAAGTGACAACCTATGAAGAGGAGAGTAATTAACACTTAATAGTGCTACAATTTATAGAATAATTTTACATAATTTATCTTAGAACATTATAAGAACTCCAATTTTTTAAAATCCCATTTTAACTGAACATGAGGTTCACTTATACAAATAATGAGAAAGTGTCAAGGTGGGGCTCAAAGCTAGTTGTGTGTACTGTAGTTCTGGATCCTCTTTTTAATTGGAATATTGTCTGCACTACAATTTTGTAAAAGAACATTTGCTTACAAACACCTACACATATGTGATGGCATTTATTCATTCATTGACTCTTTCGACAAGTATTTATGCTAGACATTGTTGTAGGTATTGGGAATTCTGCAGAAAACAAAAACAGACACAATTTTCCTGCCCTCATGGAGCTTATCCCCTAGCAGGGAAGATGACTATAGGCTAGAAAAATTAGTAAACTATATAATATGAAGATGACTATAAACAAGAAAAATTAGTAAACTATATAGTATGTTAGATGACATAAGCACAATGGAGAAAAATAAAGCAAGAGGTGAGAAAGAAAGCTATGGGGGTTAATCAGGAGAAGAGGGTTCTAGTCAGCGGGAAGGGCAGGTGCTAAGCCCTAAGACTGGAGTGTTCTTGGCATGTTCAAGAAAAAGTGGTTAGAGGGATAAAAGGGGTCAGATTATATAGTGTGCTGAATTTGCCTTTAACTAAGTGATATTAGGAGCCACTGTAGGCTTCTAAGGAGAGAAGGGATGTCACGAAACTCATGTTGATTGTTGTGCTGCTGTGTTTAGCTGATGTGGGGCAAGGGCATGTTTCCTAAGGGTCCATCTCATCACTCTATGATCTCAACTGATATTCTCAGACTCTGGCTGTTTTTATGCTCTCCATGCCACATCTTGGATACAGATGTCTCTTGCTTTGTTTATTTATAAAGGCCTCTTCAGATTCCATGGGTGTTCCCATAGAGGGCAGATAAAAAACTTGTTTGGGAAACTCAAAAGCTAAAGTGGCAACTACCCTGTAATTTGCAAAGTTGGTGGGTGCAGTAGGCATGCACAGAGCTGAGAGGAATGTCTATTATCTAAAAATTACGTTCTGAACCTTGAACCCTGGTCACAAAGCAAGATGAGGTCTTAATTATACAGGTCTCCAAATTCTTTTACCATTGTATGTAACTTCTCTGTGTATCTTTTAATAAATAACTCTTGTTGCCAATAGACTTTAAATCTCTGGGTTCAGAGCCTATTGCTGTGAAAAGAGAGAACAAAAATAAGCTTTATCAAGCTGATAGGAAAATACCAAAGAACAGCCCAAACACGGGGCTTTACTTTGAGACATTGTTCTTATTCTGGAGTGAAAATATGTAGTAGAGTGATTTCACCTGTGCCTCCTCTATCAACCACATTTCCTTAACTCTAGCCAAAAAATGGCACTAGAGCATTCGCTTTAGCCAGAATCTAGATGTTATATTTTCCCTTTGGTTTGGGTATATGGAGGAGGAAGAGGAAGAGTGAAGGAGGCTAAAGAAAAAGAAGAGGAAGAAATCAGGTAGCAGTTTTGTGGAGTTGGGCAGAGGCAGTGACAGGGGGCAGGAATTTATGGGATGGTCCATGGTCTTCTGCAGCTGCTAGCAATGTACATCGTGGTCCTTGATTCTCCAAGCTCGTCCACCTCAGTGACTCCCACCTGGTGATATTGCTGGCTGCTTTGGGTGAGACTGTTCTATGGTGTCAAACCAGCCTGGCTTCAGAAGGGGCATGGATTCTTCCTAGATCTGCTTACAGAGTGATCAGGGAAGAGTGGCTCAGGGGAGAGTGGCTCACGGAGCAGAGCTCAAGGCTAAGTCTAGTTCTAGCCCCACAGGGAGGGGAGAGGAGAAGGGGACATGAAGATAGCAGGTCAGAAGACGCGTGAACAATGAGGTCCTGGAGCAGCCTTTCACCTGTATCTCCCATGTGACCCCGTTCTCCTAATATGTGGTCAAGCATCATGTTTGGGATGGCAAGCCACAAGATCTCTCAAGCTTTGTCACACCTTGATGTGGAGCATGAAGGGAGATTCCATAGCTGATTTTCATTCTTAGCAGCTACAAGTTAGGGAGGATAACCAGTGTGATCTGGCTAGAAGAGAAAATGGAGAAAATGTCTGTATTCTAGAGGGCTCCAGAGAGGAATTGCCACAAGGGGTAATGGAATGAAATCTACCTCTTCCCAGCATTTTCAGGGAGTGGGTGGCATTTATAGGGTTAAACCCTAATGATTTCTGTGACCCGGGTGCTCAGCACTCTCTGAATCATTCTCATGGTTTCTGGGACAGCTGGCAAGGCTCCTCTGACATGAATAAATGCCTACTGCCATCACTGGGCTGTGGCTCTCCCAGTTTAAATGAGGAGTCTCCCATTACTCAGTCAGGCATACCTGCTTCTTGCTTCAGAGCCTCCGTTTCTTGGAAATAGCCTGTCAGTTCCCCTGAGAGGAGGACCTCCACTCTGATCTCCTGTCAGATGCTTGAAACCCAGAAGGGAATAGCCCTTCCAATCTGCCAGAAATTGCTTTTGTGATATCAAAGCCTGCCTCAGGGAACTACAATGTACTATGCTCAGATGAAAATTAGATCTGTAAGTACACCACTTTCTTCTTTAGACGGCCTGCGAAACTTCTCTTACTTTCGTTTGTAGGGAAGACTGCAAAGGCTTTAAATGTGTAGCCCGTAATAAGTAGGACTCTGCCACACACAAATGTTGTTTTCCTATATCTGGCAGGTGTGGAGAAGGCCCAAGAATAGACAAAAGGCTTTTCACCAGTGAAAAATGAAAGTTAAACTTCCATGTCAGCTCCAAGCATGAAGTGGATTGTAGCAGGTGCAATTAATTGCCATCACATTTATTGGAACCTTGAAAATAATTAGCAAGTGTCCTAGTTGATATGACAGATTCATTAATCATTTAATATATTCCTGCAAATAGATTTATCAATCAAATAGCTGCCTCTGGTTGAATAACTCATGACTGTGCTTTATGGCTGTATTCATAATGCTCGTCTGTTTTGAAAGAAAACTGGGAAGCTTTAGCTTAATTTAGAGCCCTCAGCTCCAATATTTATGTAGATTACATCCGAATCTCTGGAAGTTAGAGCCACTACAGCAAGAGAAGGGGTGCATAAAGCACATATTTAAAAGGCTGGAAACAATGAGTTAGGGTCAGGTATACATCCCATAGGGGTAGAAATTACACTGACAGAAAGGACGCATTCAGGAGAATGTCTTAAGGATGCTGCAGTCAGATCTAGGAACAGCTAGACTTTGTCCAAACCAATTTTAAAGTTGCTAGATGAGCAAATAAACTTCTTGGAGATAAAAACTACTGAAGGTCCTTTAATCACCCCTGACCCTATAGCATCTCTGACAGGTGGCCAGACAACATTTCCTTGAATGCTGACATTGATAGAGTGATCACTTCTATTATATTTTGGGATAGTTCTGATAATTGGAAATATTTCTTAGAGTAAAATTCTGCCTCTTTATTTTACCCTCCTATTTCTAGAGTTATAGAGAGTAAACTTATTCCTCTTCTAAAAGACTGCTTTTCTAACATGTGAAGACAGCCACCCTAACACCCTAAGTTTGCTCAAAGCTCTGATTTTTTATGCACAATGGCTCTAAAACCTTTCTCCCATCTCCGTTTTTTGGGTGCATTTTCATTTCCTAAAATGAAACCACAAAGCTACGAGTATGGAAATGTAAGCTCTACCCCCTCCATTATTTGGAATTCTTAGATCCTTTAATGCAACTTTAAGCTTGTCTTGTCTTTATTGGAAAGTTTTAGCACAGCGTTGACTGATAGTGGACTTGCTGTCAACTAGAAATCTCTGAAGCTTTATCTTCCAGTATCTGTTAAATCATACCACCCTACTCTGTACTATAATTCAGGCCATTCTTACAGGCTTTCTTAGGAAGGAACCATGCTTATTGCTGGTTTATTATGGTGATTAAGAAAAATATTTTATGGATTCGAATATTTGCTCCTCTACTTGATAGCTATGACCAGGTACAAAGAATTTAATCTTGTTGAGTCTTACTTTATTCATCTATGTAACAGGAAGCATAATCCTATATCATAGGATTGCTGTGAAGATTAATGAGTTATGTAAAGTTATTTTTTTGTGGTGCTTTATATGTAGGCAACACTCCATAAATGTATGATATTATTATTATTATTTTAAATGTTTACTCTGTCATTCAACATATTAGTTATGCTCTCCTTTCATCTGTACTATTTCTGTATACAAGGCAGAGATAAATATCTTGACTATAACTGAGAAAAAAAACTCTATAATTTAAGACCTAAGCCTCTTTTCACTATGTAACATAAAACCTGATCTCTATTATATAGTGAGATGCAATGTTATTCTGCTTAAGAAATAGAGCTTCTTAAAATAAAACCAACTAGAGTTTAGGGGGAGGAGCCAAGATGGCCGAATAGGAACAGCTCCGGTCTACAGCTCCCAGCATGAGTGGCGCAGAGGACAGGTGATTTCTGCATTTCCATCTGAGGTACCAGGTTCATCTCACTAGGGAGTGCCGGTCAGTGGGTGCGCACACCGTGCACGAGCCGAAGCAGGGCCAGGCATTGCCTCACTTGGGAAGCGCAAGGGGTCAGGGAGTTCCCTTTCCGACTCAAAGAAAGGGGTGACGGACGCACCTGGAAAATCGGGTCACTCCCACCCGAATACTGCGCTTTTCCGACGGGCTTAAAAAACGGCACACCACCAGATTATATCCTGCACCTGGCTTGGAGGGTCCTACGCCCACGGAGTCTCGCTGATTGCTAGCACAGCAGTCTGAGATCAAACTGCAAGGCGGCAGCGAGCCTGGGGGAGGGGCGCCCGCCATTGCCCAGGCTTGATTAGGTAAACAAAGCAGCCAGAAAGCTCCAACTGGGCGGAGCCCACCACAGCTCAAGGAGGCCTGCCTGCCTCTGTAGGCTCCACCTCTGGGGGCAGGGCACAGACAAACAAAAAGACAGCAGTAACCTCTGCAGACTTAAATGTCCCTGTCTGACAGCTTTGAAGAGAGCAGTGGTTCTCCCAGCACGCAGCTGGAGATCTGAGAACGGGCAGACTGCCTCCTCAAGTGGGTCCCTGACGCCCGACCCCCGAGCAGCCTAACTGGGAGGCACCCCCCAGCAGGGGCACACTGACACCTCACACGGCAGGGTATTCCAACAGACCTGCAGCTGAGGGTCCTGCTGTTAGAAGGAAAACTAACAAACAGAAAGAACATCCACACCAAAAACCCATCTGTACATCACCATCGTCAAAGACCAAAAGTAGATAAAACCACAAAGATGGGGAAAAAACAGAACAGAAAAACTGGAAACTCTAAAACGCAGAGTGCCTCTCCTCCTCCAAAGGAACACAGTTCCTCACCAGCAATGGAACAAAGCTTGATGGAGAATGACTTTGACGAGCTGAGAGAAGAAGGCTTCAGACAATCAAATTACTCTGAGCTATGGGAGGACATTCAAACCAAAGGCAAATAAGTCGAAAACTTTGAAAAAAAATTAGAAGAATGTATAACTAGAATAACCAATACAGAGAAATGCTTAAAGGAGCTGATGGAGCTGAAAACCAAGGCTCGAGAACTACGTGAAGAATGCAGAAGCCTCAGGAGCCGATGCGATCAACTGGAAGAAAGGGTATCAGCAATGGAAGATGAAATGAATGAAATGAAGCGAGAAGGGAAGTTTAGAGAAAAAAGAATAAAAAGAAATGAGAGAAGACTCCAAGACATATGGGACTATGTGAAAAGACCAAATCTGTGTCTGACTGGTGTACCTGAAAGTGATGGGGAGAATGGAACCAAGTTAGAAAACACTCTGCAGGATATTATCCAGGAGAACTTCCCCAATCTAGCAAGGCAGGCCAACGTTCAGATTCAGGAAATACAGAGAACGCCACAAAGATACTCCTCGAGAAGACACATAATTGTCAGATTCATCAAGGTTGAAATGAAGGAAAAAATGTTAAGCGCAGCCAGAGAGAAAGGTCGGGTTACCCTCAAAGGGAAGCCCATCAGACTAACAGCGGATCTCTCAGCAGAAACGCTACAAGCCAGAAGAGAGTGGGGGCCAATATTCAACATTCTTAAAGAAAAGAATTTTCAACCCAGAATTTCATATCCAGCCAAACTAAGCTTCATAAGTGAAGGAGAAATAAAATACTTTACAGACAAGCAAATGCTAAGAGATTTTGTCACCACCAGGCCTGCCCTAAAAGAGCTCCTGAAGGAAGCGCTAAACATGGAAAGGAACAACCCGTACCAGCCACTGCAAAATCATGCCAAAACGTAAAGACCATCGAGACTAGGAAGAAACTGCATCAACTAACGAGCAAAATAAGCAGCTAACATCATAATGACAGGATCAAATTCACACATAACAATATTAACTTTAAATGTAAATGGACTAAATGCTCCAATTAAAAGACACAGACTGGCAAATTGGATAAAGAGTCAAGACCCATCAGTGTGCTGTATTCAGGAAACCCATCTCACGTGCAGAGACACACATAGGCTCAAAATAAAAGGATGGAGGAAGATCTACCAAGCAAATGGAAAACAAAAAAAGGCAGGGGTTGCAATCCTAGTTTCTGATAAAACAGACTTTAAACCAACAAAGATCAAAAGAGACAAAGAAGGCCATTACATAATGGTAAAGGGATCAATTCAACAAGAAGAGCTAACTAACCTAAATATATACGCACCCAATACAGGAGCACCCAGATTCATAAAGCAAGTCCTGAGTGACCTACAAAGAGACTTAGACTCCCACGCATTAATAATGGGAGACTTTAACACCCCACTGTCAACATTAGACAGATCAACGAGACAGAAAGTCAACAAGGATACCCAGGAATTGAACTCAGCTCTGCACCAAGAAGACCTAATAGACATCTACAGAACTCTCCACCCCAAATCAACAGAATATACATTTTTTCAGCACCACACCACACCTATTCCAAAATTGACCACATACTTGGAAGTAAAGCTCTCCTCAGCAAATGTAAAAGAACAGAGATTATAACAAACTATCTCTCAGACCACAGTGCAATCAAACTAGAACTCAGGATTAAGAATCTCACTCAAAACCGCTCAACTACATGGAAACTGAACAACCTGCTCCTGAATGACTACTGGGTACATAACAAAATGAAGGCAGAAATAAAGATGTTCTTTGAAACCAACGAGAACAAAGACACAACATACCAGAATCTCTGGGACACATTTGAAGCAGTGTGTAGAGGGAAATTTATAGCACTAAATGCCCACAAGAGAAAGCAGGAAAGATCCAAAATTGACACCCTAACATTACAATTAAAAGAATTAGAAAAGCAAGAGCAAACACATTCAAAAGCTAGCAGAAGGCAAGAAATAACTAAAATCAGAGCAGAACTGAAGGAAATAGAGACACAAAAAACCCTTCAAAAAATTAATGAATCCAGGAGCTGGTTTTTTGAAAGGATCAATAAAATTGATAGACTGCTGGCAATAAAGAAAAAAGAGAAGAATCAAATAGACGCAATAAAAAATGATAAAGGGGATATCACCACCGATCCCACAGAAATACAAACTACCATCAGAGAATACTACAAATACCTCTACGCAAATAAACTAGAAAATCTAGAAGAAATGGATAAATTCCTCAACACATACACTCTCCCAAGACTAAACCAGGAAGAAGTTGAATCTCTGAATAGACCAATAACAGGAGCTGAAATTGTGGCAATAATCAATAGCTTACCAACCATAAAGAGTCCAGGACCAGATGGATTCACAGCCGAATTCTACCAGAGGTACAAGGAGGAACTGGTACCATTCCTTCTGAAACTATTCCAATCAATAGAAAAAGAGGAAATCCTCCCTAACTCATTTTATGAGGCCAGCATCATTCTGATACCAAAGCCTGGCAGAGACACAACCAAAAAAGAGAATTTTAGACCAATATCCTTGATGAACATTGATGCAAAAATCCTCAATAAAATACTGGCAAAACAAATCCAGCAGCACATCAAAAAGCTTATCCACCATGATCAAGTGGGCTTCATCCCTGGGATGCAAGGCTGGTTCAATATACACAAATCAATAAATGTAATCCAGCATATAAACAGAGCCAAAGACAAAAACCACATGATTATCTCAATAGATGCAGAAAAAGCCTTTGACAAAATTCAACAACCCTTAATGCTAAAAACTCTCAATAAATTAGGTATTGACGGGACGTATCTCAAAATCATAAGAGCTATCTATGACAAACCCACAGCCAATATCATACTGAATGGGCAGAAACTGGAAGCATTCCCTTTGAAAACTGGCACAAGACAGGGATGCCCTCTCTCACCACTCCTATTCAACATAGTGTTGGAAGTTCTGGCCAGGGCAATTAGGCAGGAGAAGGAAATAAAGGGTATTCAATTAGGAAAAGAGGAAGTCAAATTGTCCCTGTTTGCAGACGACATGATTGTATATCTAGAAAACCCCATTGTCTCAGCCCAAACTCTTCTTAAGCTGATAAGCAACTTCAGCAAAGTCTCAGGATACAAAATCAATGTACAAAAATCACAAGCATTCTTATACACCAACAACAGACAGAGAGCCAAATCATGAGTGAACTCCCATTCACAATTGCTTCAAAGAGAATAAAATACCTAGGAATCCAACTTACAAGGGATGTGAAGGACCTCTTCAAGGAGAACTACAAACCACTGCTCAGTGAAATAAAAGAGGATACAAACAAATGGAAGAAAATTCCATGCTCATGGGTAGGAAGAATCAATATCCTGAAAATGGCCATACTGCCCAAGGTAATTTACAGATTCAATGCCATCCCCATCAAGCTACCAATGACTTTCTTCACAGAATTGGAAAAAACTACTTTAAAGTTCATATGGAACCAAAAAAGAGCCCGCTTCACCAAGGCAATCCTAAGCCAAAAGAACAAAGCTGGAGGCATCACACTACCTGACTTCAAACTATACTACAAGGCTACAGTAACCAAAACAGCATGGTATTGGTACCAAAACAGAGATATAGATCAATGGAACAGAACAGAGCCCTCAGAAATAATGCCGCATATCTACAACTATCTGATCTTTGACAAACCTGAGAAAAACAAGCAATGGGGAAAGGATTCCCTATATAATAAATGGTGCTGGGAAAACTGGCTAGCCATATGTAGAAAGCTGAAACTGGATCCCTTCCTTACACCTTATACAAAAATCAATTCAAGATGGATTAAAGACTTAAACGTTAGACCTAAAACCATAAAAACCCTAGAAGAAAACCTAGGCATTACCATTCAGGACATAGGCATGGGCAAGGACTTCATGTCCAAAACACCAAAAGCAATAGCAACAAAAGACAAAATTCACAGATGGGATCTAATGAAACTAAAGAGCTTCTGCACAGCAAAAGAAACTACCATCAGAGTGAACAGGCAACCTACACAATGGGAGAAAATTTTTGCAACCTACTCATCTGACAAAGGGCTAATATCCAGAATCTACAATGGACTCAAACAAATTTACAAGAAAAAAACAAACAACCCCATCAAAAAGTGGGCCAAGGACATGAACAGACACTTCTCAAAAGAAGACATTTATGCAGCCAAAAAACACATGAAAAAATGCTCACCATCACTGGCCATCAGAGAAATGCAAATCAAAACCACAATGAGATAGCATCTCACACCAGTTAAAATGGCAATCATTAAAAAGTCAGGAAACAACAGGTGCTGGAGAGGATGTGGAGAAATAGGAACACCTTTACACTGTTGGTGGGACTGTAAACTAGTTCAACCATTGTGGAAGTCAGTGTGGCCATTCCTCAGGGATCTAGAACTGGAAATACCATTTGACCCAGCCATCCCATTACTGGGTATATACCCAAAGGACTATAAATCATTCTGCTATAAAGACACATGCACACGTATGTTTATTGCGGCAGTATTCACAGTAGCAAAGACTTGGAACCAACCCAAATGTCCAACAATGATAGACTGGATTAAGAAAATGTGGCACATATACACCATGGAATACTATGCAGCCATAAAATATGATGAGTTCATGTCCTTTGTAGGGACATGGATGAAATTAGAAATCATCATTCTCAGTAAACTATCGCAAGAACAAAAAACCAAACACCGCATATTCTCACTCATAGGTGGGAATTGAACAATGAGATCACATGGACACAGGAAGGGGAGTATCACACTTTGGGGACTGTGGTGGGGTGGGGGGAGGGGGGACGGATAGCATTGGGAGATATACTAATGCTAGATGACGAGTTAGTGGGTGCAGCGCACCAGCATGGCACATGTATACATATGTAACTAACCTGCACAATGTGTACATGTACCCTAAAACTTAAAGTATAATAAAAAAAAAATAAAACCAACTATAAATAAAGAAAACATCCTTTAATGCATTCAGTCTGTTTTATTTTATTTTAGTTTTTCAGTTGGACAGTCATTACATGCCAGATTAAGCAGTGGAGTCAAATGACGATTAGGTGCCATGTTGTTGTGGCATCCATGTTCTAAGTGACTTGCTGCTCTTTGACCACTTATTTATACTGAGACTTTTCTATCTGCTTTCACATCTTTTATTCCTGGATTCAGCTCTTTGAGTCTGCCCTGTTTGGAACTTCTCAGTTTATTCATTTTGTTCTCTAAATTTTCTAGATTTTCTGATAGCTCTGCCTGGACTTGATTCAATCTTTTTTTTGTTTTTTTTGAGGACCTCCATGGAGCAAGAAACTGTCTCAGCTGACATAGAATCATATTTCAGCCAGAAGGAAATGTCGCTTATTTTAATTCAATATATAATAACAGCAATGAAGAGCCCTTTAATCAGATAGGCTTGGATTTGAACTAGAACTTTCTCATTTATTAGGAGTAATCTTGGCTAAGGACCTGCCTAAGGCTCATTTCTTCATCTGTAAGATAGAGATAATAATATTACCTAGGCCTCATAGGCTTGTTGTAATAATAAAGTGAAGTAAAGACTCATAAGATGTTTAGACATTTGTTGAGTATTATTATTATTAATTATCATTCAATTCAATTAAAACAAGTGGATATCCTCCTAGGTACTAGGTACTGGAACAGACCAATGGAAAAACCAAATGTGGTTCTTGTTTTCGGGAACTTAACGCTCCAGAGATCCTACAATCATTATCATTGTGATCATCAAGGTCGCCATAGTCATGATAACCTTCTCTTTGTTGTCATCATTATCAATCTCTCAAAAAACATAATGGTCACCAACAGTATGTGTGGAGGATTTGTGGGTCCCTCAATTTGGTGAAGTCTACATTCTCTCTAGGCTTTCCTCTGCTGCTTCAGAGCTCTTCATGCTACTTCTTTGACTGTCTGTTTTAAAATAACATATGCTTAATTGAGTTATTTCCATAAACTCTTTTCTAACCCGTACTATTTTGAGCCTTAGTGACTGCTCTCTGCATTAGGTGCTCAAAATTCAGGGTTTAACAGTATGTCTTATGATTTTACTGTGACTCTACAAAAAAACTCGTTCCCTTCAGAAAGCTTGTTTTTATAGATTTTGAAAATCAGGACATAATTTGCCTGTTTCTAGTCTCCCAATGACTCCATCTTCATAATTCCCCAAATGCTACTGATAACATCTCAACCATCTTATTCACAAACTTTTTAAATACCCTGGGATGCAATTTTTACCAAACAGGAGACTTGTACCCATGGCAGGCACTCTTCTTTTCTCCACTTAGGGTTCAATTCTTTCTTACAATGTTCACTATCCCCACATCAGTCTGTGACAGACAACAACAAGAAAGCAGCTGGGAATTTCTGCATTTTCTGTGTCATGTGGTATCATTTTATAAGCCATCTAACAGCAGATTATTCCTCTCTTATTTTTATCTTGTTCTGAACATACTAAAAAGTCATTTTTATTATTCTGTTTATTTTTCACAGGCCTCAGCTTGCACTGCTTAATAATAACTAAAGGACTCCCAATCTTTTATATGTATTCCTTTTCATTAAGAGCTTATAGAAAACTCTGTGCATCCAGATTCATTTATCTACTTAGTTATTCCTTCCTAGTACTATTTATCACATTTGTCTTTGTGTGATCATGATCTTGTTCTTGGAAGCATCTAGTTTCTTTCCAAGCCATATTCCTTTTAAGAGCTTTTGGCCATTGGATGACATCTATCTTTTAGCAGAAACTTTTTTTAAAGAAAAGAGGGTAGATTTGTAATTAAATAAATTATTTCTTCCTATGGTCATTATAAGTATTAAATAAATATATTCACAGAAAGTTTCCATTTTTCCATTTTATTGTTAATTGGTTTTTCTTGGGTGGTAAAAATTAAATGCAGATAGCACTCCCTCTGTTGTTTCCATTTCCTGCTGAGAGGTAAAATCACCAGGAAGTTAAGTAGAGAGTGTATTAGACGCTCTGGTTCTATCAGGATATAAATCATAGTAGATTTTCAGATAATGAAAGTCTCTCAGAATTAAGGTATATTGCCTTTAATTGGTGTTAGGATAATGCAAACATCCAACCAGGAGGGTGTATCATATGCACGTCTCTCTCTCTCTCTCTCTGTCTCTTTCTCACTCCTCTCTCTCTCACTTTTTGTTTCCAGTCAAACATTGTCTATTATTTTCTCCCAGTAGGGTTATGGTTTTTCCTTATAGGTATGTATTTGTGACATATGCTCTTCTCCAACATGTTTTTTTATTATTATTATTTGGAACAAGTTAGCCTTCCACTGCTATTCAGAATTCATCAGCCATCTTGGTCTGTCTTGGGTATAAGTACCTGTGGGATTTTAATTGTAACCCTGTACTTAAATTTCAACTTACATTGTTTATTTAGTTGCTGTGAATTTGAGTATAGAAATTATAACATTTGTGACCAATGCTCTGTATTTCTTCTTTCTATAGTCTTTTGTGATTTTTTTTTCTAGGAAGCTCTAAACAGAGTGTCTGCTACATGGTATTGTTTCAAGAAATGTTTAATGAATATATTAATTTTTATTCTTCAATCTATGACACATTTCAAATTGGTTTTACCTCAGTGCATTTTTTCTCTCAATCAATGTGTTAGTGAGCCTCTTCTTATAAATAGTTCTTTTGTCATTGTGACTTGCCTTTTGGGCCTTTCTCATGATCTACACCAACGTTTTTCCAGAACTCCCATTTTGGTATACATGCAATTATGATTCTGGAAAACAAATACTACTCTTCGGTACCATAAATTTAGTTAGTTCTTTATTTCTATTTTTATTTTTTTTTCTAGAGACATACATTTCAGATGGCAGATATACATGAAAAAGCCTTTTTATGTCCTATATGACATTGAATTTACTAAACATATATTCCAGATCTCTGCTGGCATATTCCAGATTCACCCACAAACTGGCACAAATCCCTATCTGTTGGTAAATTTTATATTTCTTGGCAGATGCTCAATTATGTCTCACACTTGTATTCTGAGAAGATTGTTTATTTCCTAACAGATATGTCAGAGCCAGCACGGAGTCACTTCTTTACTTCTTAGCAAAAGGCATCAACCTTTATGACTAGGCTTGTGCTCGTGGGACTGATAAGTGTTTTCCACACACTTGTCAGAGCTTCCAGTGTTTAGTCTGTACAATCTTCTGGGTATCTTTTTTTCCTTCTCTTGTTCTCTTGTCTACAGTACCACAGACTAAAAAGTACAGTTGAATGCATGGATTAATGTAATTATTGAAACATTATATGAAAATCAAGAAATGTGTGAATTAAATAGCCAAACTAAATATCAGAATTTTGTGCTATATACAATCATCATAGGCACCTTCCAAAGTTGCCCAAGTAAGGAAACAATGCTAAGCGGTAATCAGTACTCATGATTTAAAGTTTATGTTGATTCTCTAAGGTCTGGAAGAAAATTTCTCATGTAGGTCTTTGTTTTTTTGTTGTTTTTTTTTCCTTTAGTCTTTCCCACTTTGGAGGACATATCATACCTACTTTTGAAAATTCCCAGAGTAAATCCAGTCAGAGGTAGTCTTGAAGGATCATTGGTTTGTTCCAGATTGTAGTTTTTGTCTTTTGGTGACAATACATTTGTAAAAGGTTTATGACTTTGCTGACAAAGTACTGGATGAATCTGAATTTAAATATACCCAGTAGAATGATGGAAACAAGTAGTAATGCCCTTTTTTTGCATGCAACTTTTACTCTATCCAGCACATGAGCTCAAGATGACTTTTAAGCCCACAGAGTTTACTTTTAATTTGTTTTCAAATAAAAATGTTATCATGTGAATAAAGCAGTGAGCCAAATTTAACTTTATGAAACCATATATTTAAGGAATATATTCCATTTGGAAAATTACCCACATAGCATTGAAATAATGTCGCTGTAGTTTCAATGCTATGTTTGCATTTTTAATGACTAAAAAAGCTCTGATTGCCTTTAGGGCGTGGAATTGTAATGACCGATGTCAGGGCATTTGTGCTGGCAGTTGGGCTTTCAAAATTTTACATTCTGTGGCTCTCAGAAGGCTAATAAGCATTGATGATTTAATGGAGAAAGAACAATACTAGCATCAAGGTGGGGAAATGGGGAGTGTGATGAGTATGGAAGTGGGAAACAAGCATCATGAGACTATTTCTTTTCTCCCCCTCCTCTACGTTTTCTTGGCCACAAATTGACTTCTTCTGACACTTTACTTAAACACTGTAATGTATCTAAAAAAGCCCCATTAAGAAAGAAAATGAAAACCGTGTTGGCAAGAATTTGCTGGCTGTTCATCTCAGCCAGATATGGAATTCATGGAGACAATTCACAATGCTTACTCATCATTCAAGTCAATATAAATATCTTTTTGCTCTTTGTCCTTATATTTAACTGTAAATATATCACACTCAAAAAAGTTTTGGATTTATGATTTACAAGGTTTCATATTTATGATTTATAAGGTTGGCATTTTCATGAAATTCAAAATATGATCTATTTATCCACACAAAAAAATGAATATCAAATATTCAAAAAGGATTCTAATGGAGTTGGAATGCTTCCCATGCCTGGTTTTGATATTTTGTCATTTTTATCATGCATATTTGATAGGCAAATATATATATAGCAGTATTTGAAATTGTTGTATCTGTCAGTTCAATGTAACCCAACTTCAAACTATTCTTCCATGAGGAATGTTTTGAACATACCAATAGTTCAAACTGTAGCCATGTCCAAAGTCTTTGAATCTGCATAGTTCTCCTTTATGGGCTCACTGTAGTTCCAGAGGTTAGCACAAATGCCCAGCCCAACCTGGGATGGAGGGACAGGACTAATCTTACTCTCAAAATATCCTAAAAATTTGTGATGTCTTTATTAAAACATGTTCTATTAGGCCATGCAATAATCTTGATAAATAAAAAAATGAAGTGATTGATCCTTATGGCAAAACTGGTTCTGACCAAAAGTAGTTCCAAAAAATTTCTAGGTTCTTAATGTAAAAAATACTAAGACTCAAACTTTGATAATGACACAAAGAAGAGAAACACATGTAAATGTATGTACGCTCCTGTTGATTAGAAAAATAAAATTTTCTTTATATCTATTGTCATGCTTCTTTTTCTCCTGAGAAACAATTATTATATCAGTGTTATAGGTAATAGATCCCAGTTAACTCACTTTATCACTTACTTCTCTGCTTCCTTTAATTAGTTGTTTTCAGTTTATTATTTATTGTGCCAGTTTGTATTGTTTAATTTTTATAAAGCTATATCAACTTTTTAGTTGACAGAGAACAAATCGCAAAAATACATACTTAATACTCTTCTGAGTATATTTTTCAACATTATGTATAAAACTCATATGGACAGATGTTTAAGTTGAGCAGCTCAAACAAAGAAAGTCACCATTAATTAATTGTCCTTAAGAAAGACTTTGAAAGATCACACAATTTAACATCCTTTCTTATAGTATTACAACAGAAATAATCAAGAGAAGGTAAAACATTATAAAAAAAGAAATGAAATTCCAAAGTTTTAGCTCAGTTTTTTATATGTATGTCATCCGGTGTGTGTGTGTGTGTGTGTGTGTGCGTGTGTGTGTGTGTATCTCTCTCCTTAGTTTTATCAACTAGAATTTTTATGCCAAAAATTCTAGATGATCACAGTGTATGAATAAATAAAATATTTTATAATAAGCTTAGTTTTGGAAGTGTTACAGAACTTAGTCTCCAAAATTTCAGAATTCTAGGGCATTATTTTAAAATGTTCTAATTACAATATTTATATGTGTGTGTATTTTCTATATTCACGCATACATAGAAATTGTCTCTTTCATGATGAGAGAGTGTGTGTGTGTGTGTGTGTGTGTGTGTCAGGAAAGAGACAATTTCTATATGAAGAGCCTAGTAGATTCCTTTTTATTGGAATTTAAGGAAAGCACCCTAATCTGTTATCTGAGGTTGGAAAATGAGCTTCTGTATTAGGGCACTCAATTTTTTTAGGTGTATTTTTCTCTCTAGGTTCATGTCAGAAATTTTATGTTCCTCTTGCTCTAAATGCTTATAAGTTAAGTTAGCCTCTAGGTTAAAATCAGTGAGCTGGCTAGTAACTGTTTTGGGGGCACAACTTCCTGTCTTTGGTCAGTTATAGCTTCTATCATTTATCTTTAATTATTAGTTCATTTTTGAAGAAAGCTGGCAGAAATAAAATACTGTTACCCATTTGCAAACTGAGGTTTGTAATCTGACATTTACAAGGGACTGAACTGTGTTTTGGACATAAAGTCTTCTAACTGTGACTATAATAAACTTCTCAGTTGTTATGAACCTCTTGCTTTGGCAAAAAGTTGCTGATGTAACTCAACACTTTGAGTTTTCATTAATGAGATTCTGAGCGAACAGAAGTAATACTAATCAATTCAGAGGGAAGTGTATTTTTAAATGTTCTTTCCCACATCTTGGTGAGATCCTATTAAAATATTTAATGCATGAGTTATTTTCCCTTGTGACTTCTAAGATTTTGCCTGATTTTTCATCTAACTCCCATAATATTCATGTGTAGAACAATAATTAGAGTCACTCACTTAAGCAGGTTGTTCTGAATATTAGTAATGAGGTGTGTTGGAAGTCATCAAAATGTGAAATTAAAAATATATCGATAAATCATCTTTATAAATACACACTTCTTTATGTATTTTTTCTGAGCAGAGAATTCTGCTGGATTCTAAATCTTACTTAACTGAAAGAAAGAAAAAGAAAAGGAAATGTAATTGTTCCCCCATTTGTTTGTTGACAAAAATAATGATTTCTCCCATTCCATATGCTCTTCTCAATGTGATCTTGCCACCCTTCCCATCAGAATGTAGAGTCTAATTTCCCATTACATGAATCTGTGACTTCCAAGGTGTATTAGTCCGTTTTTGCATTGCTATAAAGAAATACCTGAAACTGGGTAATTTATAAAGAAAATAGGTTTAATTGGCTCACGACTCTGCAGGCTGTACAGGAAGCATGATGCTGGCATCTTCTCTGCTTCTGGGGAGACCTCAGGAAACTTGTAATCATGTTGGAAGGCAAAGGGAAGCAGGCATGTCTTACATGGCTGGAGCAGCAGCAAGAGAGTGGGGAAGGTGCTCCACACTTTTAAAAAACCAGATGTCATGAGAACTCTCTATTACAAGAACAGCACCAAGGGAATGGCACTAAACCATTTATGAGAAACTGCCTCTGTAATCCAATCACCTCCCACCAGGCCCCACCTCCAACACTGGGGATTACAATTTGACGTGAGATTTGGTCAGGGACAGAGATCAAAACCGTATAACAAGGCTGGTTCATAAAGGCCTTGCAGCCTCCTCTTGGGTCACTAGGAAGGCACTTTCCTGGGTTGCCGTCCCCCTCCAAACTGAGCTGCCATGCTATGAGAAGCTGAAGTATATGGCAGGGCCATCAGGAGGCACTCTGGTTCACATTCCAGCTAAGCTTCAACAATGGCTAGCATCAACTGTGAGCCACCTTGAATGCTCAGTCCACATGACTTCCCCTCAGGCCCAGACATCATGTGACTGAGTTCCTCAAGCCAGAACCACATAGCCAAACTTGGTTAACCTACAGAACTCTGAGAGGTAATTACTAAATTATTGCTTTAAGCCACTAAGCTTTGGGGTGGATCTACAACTACAACTAACTAGATTGCAATCTCATTTTATAGACAGGGAAGCTGAAGGACCAAAAGGTTAAATAATTTGCCAAAAGCCCTACAGTTAATGAGTGGAATTGCTAGGCCTGGATCACAAGTAATTTAACTCTCAACCTTTACCCTGCACTAACCTCTACACCCCTCTAGAAAACATTCTGTGTTATTACTGGCAGTGACAAAACTATGGGATGCATAAATGAATATGATGACCTTCTGTGGAAATTCTCTTGTTCCTAAATAACTTCCCCCTACGTTTTGTAAATTGACGTTGACTTTTTCCCACTGAAACTTTGGAGTTGGACAGGAAAATTAAAATGGCAAATCTGATATAGCTTTGAAAAACACAATACATAAATTACAATCACATTAAGATGATTATGGCATAGGAATGACAGTCAAAGGTAATGAGAAAAGGACTTCTTTTCTAGAGAGCAAAGTAATTATCCTGCAAGATTGTAAGTCGGTTGTAAATCTAAGATACACTGCCTGCCTACTTATGCAAAACTGGTGTTGCTATGTCATTGTTATGTTACTTAATGATACCAATTATTTAAAAATTAAGCACAGGGTACTTCATGACATGGTATTTATTATATCCAAGTGGAGCTGATTTCAAATTTTCTTCAGGGTAACACAGACTTTCACTACTCCTTCCCAAGCCTTTCATATTTTCCCTGGAGCTGCACATTTTTTTATGCTAACACTTTTAGTGGAGATTTCTAACATAAAAAATTAAAAAGGTCAATTTTATGATGAAGCACAGTAGCTTAGATATTTTAAATGGCACCCTAGACTCAAGAAGCTAATTGCTTTTTCATAGCACAACCCTCTGAAGTGCCCACACTGCAAACTGGCTTAGATAAAAACCAGGATGCATCTTTCTCTTCTGTTTCAAGGTCCACTGGGACTTCCTGAGACAAGTGATGCTATAAAGAAAAATAGAAATCACCTGGAGCCTGGGAAAATAATAATGAAGTAAGACTACAATTATGCCAGTCTGAATCCATCTGTCTCTGTGTATTTGCTCCATGTTTCATCACCTGTTCAGTCACAGGTGTACTTGTAATGAAGTCAGGGATCGTACAACCCCATCAAACTAAGACTTCTGAATGTAAGATACACACCATCCTTGCTGACTCATTTAGACAGACCAGCCACCAAGATGGATTTCAAGTCTATGTGGTGCCAGTGTGTAAGATATAGGAGTTTTAGCGGCAGGACTAAATGAAACCCTGAATTCTTCTTAGAGAATATATTCTAGTACATACATCTTTTGCTGATCCCTGTTAGTATACAATAGAAATATTACCTAATGTTTGCTTTATAGGAATAATAAAATGTAGCATTTGAAACAGAAACAATATAGACTGGAAAAGTTAGCTGAAGTGCTGCAAGTAAAAAACAAATGCCTATTAACCTACACTTATTTTGCAGGCTGAAATCCTGCATCAGTTTCTGCTGGACTTTATAAAAGCATAGCTTATACAGAGTAAATATTAAATTGTCATAATGTTTATCATTTAGGAGAGCTCTAGTGTGATAAAGACACAGAAGTGTACTCATAACTGCGATATGAAAAAATAATAGATGTTTTATATGAAGAAACAAATTGTGATGAAAATCTTAGAATATAAGTTAGGTATTACATGGTTAATGAGCCACTAGATTAAAAAATCTGTTGAGTAACCAAGGATTAAGCCAGAAACACCATCATCTAATTAATTTAATTGTGTTTTTCAACACAAGACATCTTTTCCTTCTTCTTCTGATTCCTACATCTCACCTCACCACTACTGTTGTCATATTCATTACCTTTACATTGTGAAAATCTAGTTGATTTGTTTTGGGAATTTTAAGACCTAGGGATTCTGCAGATGCCCAGGTTATGTGTTCTGACTCTTAGACCCTTAATGATTATACTGCACTTTAATTTTTAAAAACTTTTCAAGATTTAAAGAAAACCCTGGGGAAAAACGATTAATATTATGATTTTTATTTTATAATGGAGGTAACAAAAGCTATGCGCAAATAACTCATTGAAGGTCATGCAGGGAGTCAATAGAAAAAAATCCATCTTTTAGTTTTCTTTGCTACTGAGGCACTTACTAAATCGCAAGTGACCTTGTTTGGAACCCCTATTCATGCAAGTGTCAAACAAATTACAGTAGCCTAAATAAGTACTGATTGTTTCAACTGTGGAACAAGTTCCCTAAATTCTGTTATTTCAATCTTCTTGACCTATACAGCTACTTATTTTCCTGCAAAAAAAAAAAAAAAATAGATCCTTTTACTTTTTTGTAAATTTATACAATCAAGCGCAGAAAACAACATATCAATTGGGTTTGATTCTCAAGAAGACACCTAAACATGCTTGAGGTTTCAGCAATTTAACTTGTCAGGGTGACACAGATAGCTAAGTATTTGCTTCTGTTATGAGGGATTTATGTGTTTTCCCATGATGATAGCACAAGAAAGACCAGCTATGAGGCAATATCAGGCTTATAAGAGGAACATCCATTTTTTGTCCGGTAGACAGCAAATCTGGAGGCCTATTTTCAATCCCGCAGGTCTCAGGGCATGGGAGGTGGCTTGCGGCAGGGAGAAAACTCTGAAGCAAAACCAGTTTGTATGTGGCCCTTTTGGGGCTCGGAAAATGATGCCCCAAAATATGGCACTTAGGCATACTGAGTACTTTTAATGAAAGGAAATTGGAAAACCTCAGAAGCAGCCTCAGAAGCAAACTCTCTCTCTGAGCTTCTCCTTTCCTCCTGTCTCCCACTTCACATTCGCATGCAAAGTGATTCATACAAACCAGAATTCATCTTCTCCAAGGTAGGTCATGGAAGCTAGAACCCCTCTCCTCCAAAGCAAGCAATCAAATCTAGAAAGATCACTCTTTACCTTCTCCCTGAAGACTCTCACAGAGGTCCTTCCTCCTACCTGAGAGGATGAAATGCTACACAGAGAGACCAAGAAGAATCTGAACAGACAGATGAGTTTGCCCTCTCAGTCTATTGCCATTAGATCCCACCATTATGTCCAATCACATGTCTACAAGGCTGTCCATTCTTCAAGGAACCTAAGCACAAAAGCAGTTTCCCCTGCATCTTTGGGTCTTCATTTTGAATGCCATCATGCTACATAAAATTTTGCTTAAATAAATTTGTTATGCCTTTCTCTTGTTAACCAGTCTTTACTTAGAGGAGTGTTGGCCATGGCCCTTATGATGGGTGAGAAAAGATAGCACATCTTTCTGTTCCTGCAGCCCTCCTTCCTATATGAACCTATGTGTTCTTTGAACCCTCCTACTTTAGCCGAGTTTGCATTCCATTTCCTTTTTCACTTAAGGTAATAGGAAAATGAAATATTTTTTAATGCAACATAGTCCTCTGAAAATAAATGTCCTTTCAAGTCACAAAGCAGATTTCTTCATATCTGCCAGAACTCTCGTTTTAAAATAGACATGGCTTAAAATTTGGTTACTCAGGCTACTGTTATCAATATAAGACCATTGCATTATGTGAATGCACAGAACAATATTTAACCTTCATAAAGCTCTCAGAATCAAATCAATAAGTGGAGTTCAAGGAAAATTCTTGCAAGAGAGTTATGAGATCTTTAAAATATTTGTCTGAGATTCATGCTATTGTCCTGGTAAGAATAGATTTGCCCTAAGAAACCCTTAAATGAGTTTTGATGGCTGGTGTTCTGAGCTGGTCAATCTCTCTGACATATACGTTTGTATCTAAATCTTCTGCAGTCTAAAGTATTTTCAGAAGCAGAGGCAGAAAGGGTTGTTTATTAATCCCTGATGGACCACAAGGTATCATCCATATTGAAAATCTGTTCTGAGGTTCTACTTTTTTTTTTTTTTTCTGGGTAGGCTACAGTAGCAGTAAATCCTGTTTACCTAGTTAAAGACAAATGAAGACATTAAAAGAAGCAAAGAACAGTCTTTCCATGCACTACTGAAAAAACACTATCCAATAAAAAAACAAGGAGGAAGAGGAAGAGGAGATGGTTTAAGGGCATATATGACATATTATAAAGGTACTGCTAGAGCTTGAAAAACAAAACAAACAAAGTCAATAACTCCATAACAAAAGAAAACAAAACCTTCTATCACCTATTTGTATACTTTTGGGTAAAACAAAACCCAAATATTTTTATTAAATTTACTGGCACTCTTAGCTGACTGTGCAAATATAGTCTTCACTTCTGTCAATAAATATTCATGTTAATTTTCTAGGTAAAAAAATCAATTTCATGCTAGCAGGAAGCTTCAGAAAGTGACTAGATTAAACTATGGCTTCCAGCTACACGTTTCTAGCACCAAAAATAACCATATGGCATTGAATGTGTGCAGGTCACTCTGGAGATTTACTGTAATTATGTCATGATGCGCTTATTCAACAGCCTTTCTTGCCTCTCTACCTGCTTTGTTCAAGAGCAGCTGCTGGATTCAAGCTGTTGTCTGTTTCCAGCACAGAGGCTGAATGAAGAAATGCTTTCTAGGGAAGTCATATTCCAAAGCAGGAATGGCAACAATAAATGGATTCAATGGGGGAACATAAAGTTCACTGGGCAAAAGTCTCTCAATCAGCCGGTGCTAATTTACTCCTGCCGGTTCCAATTGGTAAATAACACTGCCTATGCAATTTATGCAAAGTTGAAAGGGTTGGGGGGTGGATTTAATGAACAGAGGAACAGAATACTGCTTTGCAGAGTGCCTGATTGTGATGGTTTCATTAAAGCGACTGCTTGAGTGAGCCTCAAGTACTATTCCTACTCACCATATGTGCCAGGACAACAGAATCATGAATGCCAGGGTGAAGAACATTCCATTATTTTCTGCTAAAGATAATGCTCAGTAAATATATATACACACACACATAGACTTGTTTAATTACATACTCTATGTTAAATATTCATATATGCAAACGTGCTTTTAAACAAATGCCTTAAACACTTGGAATGTGGGTGTACAAGATGCAGATTTAGGGTAATTGACTTGGGTTACTGATTTTTATGGCAAGGACAGCTTTTATAAAAATGTGTTTTACAAATTATTTTAAAAATGGACCTTTATTTTTCTTACAGTTTACAAGCAAGTAGGCAGGACTGAAACAGATGCAATTTAGAGGACTTTATATTGTATACTGTTCCCGCTTGGATTCATAAGGTGCATTTTCTCTATGGGTCTTAAGACAGGAAGGGTCTAACTAACTGGAGATGTAAAGAACAGTGTGCTAATGCATCCACATCCAGCATCTGGAACCTCTTTGGCTTCCTCTGGTATGACACTCCCTGTGCTCCAGCCACACAAATGCCAAACTGTGTTTGATTGAAATGCCTGCCCTTTCCCTTCTCCCCTTCACCTACTACTCCGAATAACTCCTCAGCCTTCAAGGCTCAGACAGAAGTACCTCACCTTCACCTTGCCTTCTCTCATCTTCCAAGGGTGAGTTAAGTGTTCCTTATCTGAGTCACCCTATTATCTGGGCTTTTTTCGATAACACTACCTACCACATCACCTTGGAATATTTGGTTTAAATGCCTCTCTCCAACCTACAGTAAACAGTCGTGAATCATTTAGCGATGGTTCTGAGAAACGGATCCATAGGTAATTTTGTCAGTGTTGAACATCACAGAGTGTACTTATACAAACCTTGATGGTATAGGTCACTACACACCTAAGCTATGTGGTATAGCCTATCACTCCTAGACTACAAACCTGTGCAAAATGTTACTGTACTGAATGGTGTAGGCAATTGTAACAAAGTGCTATTTGTGTATCTAAACATGTCTAAACCTAGAAAACATACAGAAAAAAACAGTATTATAATCTATGGGACCAACATTGTATATGTGGTCTGTGGTTGACCAAAATGTCATGTGGCTCATAAATGTACTCCCCAAGGCAGGAGAATTCTATACAAACGACCCTGTTTTTACTTAGCACACTTCTGAATGGATAATTTTAAAGAATGTGATTTGAGATAGAAGTTCAGTGTAAATACTGGCCAGATCAGGTTTCTTTAACATCTGCATTGTGATGCATAATGTTCACTGTGATGAGTTCAAATTATACTAAATGCTCCAACAATAGGTTGGGCATTTAAAACCATAAAAATGTTTCCTGTATCAAATGCATAGTTCGTCTTGTGATACTACTGGAGCTGGCATCACATAACTGACTTTTTCATGTTACATATATTTTTTTTTTTCTTTTGAGACAGCCTTGCTCTGTCGCCTAGGCTGGGTGTGCAGTGGTGTGATCTCGGCTCACTGCAACCTCCGCCTCCCAGGTTCAAGTGCTTTTCCTGCCTCAGCCTTTTGAGTAGCTGGGACAACAGGCGCCTGCCACCATGCCCGGCTAATTTTTTGTATTTTTAGTAGAGACAGGGTTTCACTGTGTTAGCCAGGATGGTCTGGATCTCCTGACCTGGTGATCCACCCACCTCAGGCTCCCAAAGTGCTGCGATTACAGGTGTGAACCACCGCACCCGGCCCTCATGTTACGTAATTTTTATATGTGAAGTGATAATGACCTTCATTAAAATAATAAAACTTCTGAGTGACTGTGAAAAAAATAACTACCTTATTTAAAGGCAATTTATTTTGTGCTCATTTATCTCACAGAGCTTTGTTTATTTTTATATAACAAAACGGGAGGGTGAGAAATAGTGTTTTTATGAGAATACTTTGTCTCAATGATTTTTGTATCATCTACAAACTCTGATGCAAATTTATGAAGAGCTGAGAAAAACAGCAAAGTTATTTTTGTTTATTACTTCCATCCTACTTTTAGCCGTTATGAAAATATTTATTTAAAAAATAGTAGTGGAATATTTCTTTTCTGATGCATTGTGAATTACAGCTTATGAGTTCTAATAGGAGTTAAACCAGTATTTAAACAAAGGTAAAACATATTAATACATGTAGTAATACATTTTATAATAGAAGTGATTTTAGGCCCTTTTAATAGAAAGATAGCCAAATATTCAGTTTTATTCGAATATCGCATTTTATATTTTTATCCTTTAACAAAATATAACAATGCACTTTTATCATTTGATGATCATGAAGAAATCACAGTGTACTGACACAGGAAAGAAGTTAGAAAGAAGTGATGTGATTTTCTTAAGACCTATCGTCAAAAAAAACTATATTGTAAAGTATATTTCAGTTTATTACCGTGTGTTTGTTTCTTTTTTAATTTCCTGGCTATGCTTATTCTGTGTTGTAGGAGGAGGTGGTGTGAGAGAGGGCCTCACCTGTTACCAGTAAGGTGATAATCTTGGAATGGAAAAATCAAATAGGTCATTTTTTTCTAAGGATAATCCTGGGTGGATGACTTTTTCCATTCTTATTTGGCCAGAGTAGACTTTTAAAGAGGTATAAATGAAAGTAAACTTGGATAATTCAGAAGAAAAATAAAAATGTAAAGCTGTAAATTAATTTGGGAACCAGTGGCTATTCAACCTGACAATAAAAGTGGAGACAACACGTGGGGCGGGGGGCGGTAATGGACCTTAGTTTGCCTGAATTCTCGGCAGAGGAACTCATCTGAAGAGCCAGAAAATCAATTATGAAGAATTTGAATTTTGTACAGTAGTGACAGGGAGCAAACACAGGGTTTGAGGACTGGCAGGCAATAAAGCTGGTTTTGGCAGCAGTATTTTCTGCTGATTAGAAAGGACATAGACTGAGAGTAGTGAGGTTAAATGGAAATTAGGTTGAAGTGGTCCAGGAGTGTAGTGATTAGAGCAGAGATTGCCATCTGGTCAATGGGGATAGAGAGGTGATTTTTAGTTTTCTTAGCAGAAGTGATCCAGTATTGTTGAATAATCCAAATGTGGCATAGGAAAATAATGGAGGTAAAAACAAGTGTAATGACATGCTTGGAATAAAAGCAGTGTTTTCTATCGCACAATTTGGAAAGCATAGGTGGAGATAAAACAAATATAAAAAGTTACAACTTTTAACCTCCTGCCTTCCTTGCATTCTGTTTTTCCCCCTCCTTCCTCCTTCATTCCTTCCTTCCTACAAATCTTAAACACTTACTCCAGGCACATTGAAAAGCTGGGAGGGTAGATTGGAGAGAATGGATAACAGATCCTAAATATTTAATTCTAATATGACAGGCAAAAGAAAGCCATGTGACAAAATAAATCCAGTGCTTTAGGAGGAAAGTGTGACTTTAATGTGTGGAACAACAGAACAGAAGAGAGAGGAAGTGCATTCAATTGAATTGAGGAGAAAGCTGCTATGCTATTCAGGTGAGATGTGATGAGACAGCAGTGGTGGCAGTAGGGAGGAAGATTCCATCTGAGATACAGTGTAGAGAAAGAATACGTACTAAGAGCCAAACTGTGGCAAAAAAATGACATGAAAAGAACAATTTCTCCTATGGGTAAAAAATCCTGAGGCATTAAACTAGAAATGTAAGTTAAACTGTTCAACTTGATAAAGAATATCTAGAAAAAGCTACATCATATTTAATGGTGAGAAACTAGAAAATTCCTAAGACCAGGAATATAAATATGTCCCCTTTCAACACTTCTTTTCAACATTTTACTGGAAGTCATAATGAAATGAGACAAGAAAAGGAAACTGAAGGTATGCTGATTGAGAAGGAAGAAATAAAACTGTCTTTGCAAACCATACGATTCTCTATGTAGAAAATCTAAAGAAATCAGCAAAAAACTTTGGGAACTCATAGCAATTGTAGCAAGGTTGCAGGATATAAGATTAATAAACAGAAGTCAATTGTTTTCCTATATACCAGCAATTAACAAGTAAAATTTGAAATTAAAAGCACAATAGTATTCACATTGGCACCACAAAAATGAAATACATAGGAATAAATCCATCAAAATATGTACAAGATTTATATGAGAAAAATTACAAAACTCTGTTAAAATGTCAAAGAAGTAAATAAATGGAGAAATATGCCATGTTCATGGATAAGATTATTCAATATTTCAAGATATCTGTTCTTCTGAACTTGATCTATGAATTCAATGCAATTCAAATAGAAATGCCAGCACATTATTTTGTGAATGTCAACAAACAGATTCAAATCTTTATATGGAGAGGAAAAGACTCAGAACAGACAACACAATATTGGAGGAAAAGACCAAAGTTGGAGCAGTGACACACTATAACCTCAAGACTTACTCTCATTGATTAAGATAGTGTGGTACTAGTGAAAGATTAGATAAGTAGATCAATGGAACAGAATAAAGAGTCCAGAAATAGAGCCACATAATATAGTCAAACTAATCTTTGTTACAGAAACAAAGACGAAGCAATAGGGGAAGAATAGTCTTTTCCACAAATGGATTTGGAACAATTGGACATCCACATGAATCTAGAATGAATCTAAACATAGACCTGGTACTTTTCACAAAAATTAACTCAAAATAAATCAAGATTTAAATGTAAAAATGCAAAACTATAAAGCTTCTAGAAGGTGACATAAGAGAAAATCTAGATGACATTGGTTTGGTGATGACTTTTTAGACATGACACTGTCTTTGCACAATCTATGAAAGAAAGAATTAACAAGATGCTTTTCATTAAAATTAAAACTTTGTGCTCTGTGAAAAATACTGTCAAGAGAATGAAAAGAAAAGCAACAGTATGGAAGAAAACATTTTCCAAAAACATATATGATAAAGGACTGCAATCCAAAATACACAATGAACTCTTAAAACTCAATGGTAAAAATGGGCCAAAGATTTTAGCAGACACCTCACCAAAGAAGACATCCAGATGTCAAATAAGTAGATAAAAAAGGTGTCCAACATCATATGTCATCAGGGAGATGTAGGCTGAAACAAAAATAACATAGCTCTACACGCTTTTTACAATGCCCAAAATCCAGAACAGTGACAGCATCAAATGCTGGCAAGGATGTGGAGGAAGAGGAACTATCATCTATTGCCAGTGAAAATGCAAAATGGTATAGCAATTTTGGAAGACAGTTTGGCAGTTTCTTAGAAAACTAAATACACTCTTACCAAATGAACTAGCAATTGTGCTCCTTGGTATTTACTCAAATGAGTTGAAAACTTAAATCCACACCACAATCTGTGCACAGACCTTTATAGCAGCTTTATTCATAATTGCCCAAATTTGGAAGCAACCAAGTTGTTCTTTAGGAGGTAAGTGGATATATAAACTGTGGTTCATCCAGACAATGGATTATTGTTCAGTGATACAAAGAAATGAATTATCAAGCCATGAAAAGATATGGAGAAAACTTATATTTACATTACTGAGTAAAAGAAGCCAATGTGAAAAGACAACATATAACTTCAACTATATGACATTCTGGAAAAGACAGAAGTATAGAGACAGTAAAAGGAACAGTAGTTGCTAGAGGTTAGAAAGGATGGAGGGGGAGGGCTGGGTAGACATAGCATGGTGAATTTTTAGGGCAGTGAAAATACCATATATGATGCTACAATGGTAGATACATGTTATTATTACAAACCAAAAGAATGTACAACACTAACAGTGAACCACAATGTAAACTATAGACTCTGGGTGATAATGATGTCTCAATGCAGATTCATCAATTGTAACAAATGTATCACTCTGGTGGAGGATGCTGATAATGGGGGAGGCTGTGCATGTGGAGGGGCAGGGGTACTTGGGAACTCTCTGTACCTTTCTTCAATTTTGCTATTAATCTAAAATGGCTCTAAAAATGTATTTAATAAGAAAAAACAGGCCTGGGAGAATCAGAAAAAGGAATGGCTCAAAAAGATACATTCAGATTTCAAGACAGAGTACATGATACAAATATAAAATCTGGTGAGGTAAAGCACTGAATGTGGTAACGGATTAACACTTAGTTATACTGTTATATTTGTTAACGCTTGCAGAACAGCAGAAAAAAAGTAAATTAACAGAAACTCAGTGTTATCATCAAATTTGGGAGATTAGAAATGTTTTCTATCCAAATGACACTCATCCTCAGGGTAGAAAAAAATTGACCTGTGATGAATAATGATGGTTAGTAAATTGTTTTTCAAAAGCATAATAGCTGGTTGCTGGAAGCAAAAAATGAAGAAGAATTAATCAGTGATAAAAAGGCAGGATGTTTAAATAAATGGAAGTTCTATCAGATCCTGTGGCAGACAGACTCTAGGAGGGCCCCCATGATTCCTCTCTCCAGTATTGCATACTTTATAAGTATGGGTATTGTATTAGTCAGGGTTCTCTAGAGGGACAGAACTAATAGAACAGTATGTGTGTGTGTGTGTGTGTGTGTGTGTGTGTGTGTGTGTATATATCATATATATTTATATTATATATATTATATTCATATATTCACTATATTCATATATATAGCCCAAATATATATATGGTATATTCTCTCTCTATATATATTCCATATATAAATACATACACACATATAAATATATATACATAATATATATTTATATTATAAATATATATTATATATACCATGTATGTATATGTATGGAATATATACCATGTATGTATATGTATGGAATATATACCATGTATGTATATGTATGGAATATATATATTCCATGTATGTGTATATATGGAATATATACCATGTATGTATATGGTATACATGGAATATATATATTCCATACATACACATACATGGAATATATATATTCCATGTATGTGTATGTATGGAATATATATATTATATGTATATGTATGGAATATATATATTACATATATATTCTCTATATATAGAATATATATATTCTCTCTCTATATATAGAGAGAATATATATAGGTAATATATATATTCTCTCTATATATATTCCACATATATACACATATATACATTCCATATGTATATATGTATATGGAATATATATAGAGAATATTTATATTCCATATATATATATATTTAAGGGAGCTTATTAAGTATTAACTTACATGTTCACAAGGTCCCACAATAGGCTGTCTGCATGCTTGAGGAGCAAGAAGAGCCAATTCCAGCCTCAAACCTGAAGAACTTGGAGTCTGATGTTCAAGGGCAGGAAGTATCCAGCACAGGAGAAAGATGTAGGCTGGAAGCCTAGGCCTATCTCACCTTTTCATGTTTTTCTGCCTGCTTTCTATTTGCTGGCAGCTTATTAGATGGTCCCATCAGATGAAGGGTGTGTCTGCCTTTCCCAGCCCACTGACTCAAATGTTAATCTCCTTTGGCATCACCCTCACAGACACACCCAGGATCAATACTTTGTATGCTTCAATCCAGTCAAGTTTACACTCAGTATTAACCATCACAGGTATGGCCATATGACTTGCTTTTAACCAACAGAACACAGAAAAGGGGATAGGATGTATGTGATGCATATACAGGATTACCTGCATAAGATTATGATATGGTTTGGATCTGTATCCCTACCCAAATATCATGTAAAATTGTAATACCCAATGTTGGAGGTGAGGCCTGGTAGGAGGTGATTGGATCATGGTGGTGGTTTTTCATGAATGGTTTAGTGCTGTTCCCCTAGTGCTGTTCTTGTTATAGGGTTCTATGAGATCTGGTTGTTTAAAGGTGTGTAGCACCCCTCCCCTTTCCTCCTGCTCTGGTCATGTCGGGTGTTTGCTCCCTTTTTGCCTTCTGCCATGATCATAAGTTTCCTGAGGCCTTTCCAGAAGCTGAGCAGAAGCTGTCATGCTTCCTGCACAGTCTGTGGAACTGTGAGCCAGTTAAACCTTTTTTCTTTATAAATTACCCAGCCTCAGGTATTTCCTTATAGCAGCGAGAGAACAGACTAATACAGGTTGTATGTAAGGCCTGCCTTGCGGGAGTCTTTCCCTTGCTTGCAGATGTCAAGAAACAAGCTGCAATATTGTGGACTGCCTATGTTAGGAAGTCCACAAGACCATGAACTACAGGCAGCCTATAGGAGCTGAAAGAGTCTGCTGGTTGACAGCCAACCAGAAACCAAAGCCCCCAGTCCTACATGCACACAGAACTGAATTCTGCCAACAATCTCAGTGAGCTTGGAATTTAATCCTTCCCCAGCCAAGCCTCAGCTGAGAACACAGCCCTGGCCAAAACTTTGATTATCATCTTGTGAGAAACACTGAAGCAGATAATTCAGCTAAGCTGGGCTTGAAATTCTTTTCCATAGAAACTGTGACATAATGAATGTGTGTTGTTTTAAGCTGCTAAGTTACTCTTAATTGATATAGCAGCAATAGATAACTAATACAGACATGAAGATATGGTGAAGAAGTTTCTAGCCTAGTGAAAGCAGAACTGAATTTTCGTAGTCAAGATATTTTTATCATTCTGAGTCTTGATTTGTTTTACTCATAACATGAGAAAGTTGGACTAGAATGTCTCTCATGCCTTTTCTGACCAGAATTGGATCTAGATGAAGGGTTCTTAGGATAGCATTTCATAATATAGCCAATATAGAATTTTTTTCATTGTGCATTTTATCGTGTGCTAGACACAAAGATAATCACTTTTTCATTAACTGTCACATTGATATCCCAAAATTCTTTATTGTTATCCTCATAAAAATACCAAAGTTGGAGGATTTTCTTTGTACAACTTCTTGCAAATAATCTCATATGTAATATCATTGGCAAATTGTTAGTGGTCAGTCTTGAGCAATGAAAAGTGGATCAAATTTTGAGAAACCACTACATTAAGCAATTACATTTCAAATTTAATGCATCCTTCACTACTAATTATTGTTATTCTCTGCCTTTTTAGTTTAAAGTAGAATTGTTCACCTTTTCACAGAAACTAAAATAGGTAGAAAATTTTTTTAATGTTACTCCATTTTCTATAGTGACCTTCCACATGTTTACTTCAAGCCACTTGTGTATCATATGAGAAATATCTCAAATTCCTACTTACTGAATTTGTCAGTCTCTGATCCTCAGAATTGGATTTAAAATATGTAAACAAATGACTTCCAATACCATGTGATAAGTGCAAAAATAGTAGTATGAATGTATTTCTGTGAGACCCCAATATATAAAGTAACTAACCTTACCCAGGAAGTCAGGGAAGACTTTATCAATATGAGCTGGATCTTATGGGATGGATAAGAATCTTTCTGATAAGGAAACAAGAAGGAGGAATAGGATAGTATTTTAGAACAGGAAAAGCATGTTCACATTTCAGAATTCCCAAAGGGCAGGGAATGGAATGCCTGGGGCTGGATGTTAGGTATTTGGGGGTTAGGGTGGTTTGCTATTGTTATTGGCATTTCCCTATTTACTTACTCGGTGTCCAGATGTAGTAAGCACTCAATGAATTCTAGTTAAGTGACTGAATGGCTGAACTAATGAATGAGGCTGCAGAGATAGACGGCAAACATTGTGTAAAGACTCTGTGTCAGACTAAGGAACTTATGCTTTCATCCTCTTGGCTAGAAGAAACCCATTACAATGATTAAATTTGTCAGATTTTAATGGGTTTTTATATGTTTTATGAGACTTCTCTCTATTCACTCCCCTAATCCCAGCAAATGTTTTAGAATAATATGTAGTATAAATTGTTTACTAACATTTTTCTTTTGCTAAGGTAGTGGACATCAAAGTTTAATTTGCATCAGAATTATCTGGAGAAGTTGTTTAAAAATATTGCTGAACTGCATCACACAGTTTCTGATAGGAGTCTGGGGTGGAGCCTGAGAATTTGCATTTTTAGCAATATCCCTGGTGCTGCTGTTGCTCCTGGTCTAAGAACTACACTTTAACAAATCTCTATTTACTAAACTCCACTACAAGTCATTAGGCTGTTAACTGCTGTTATGTCTTTTAAAAAATGGAAAATATCTTCAACAGATTCATGCAAACACAAAATTTCGAGCAGACATGTATTTATTTTCCTATTGCCTTTGAAGATACCAGATTGCAGGTGTAACCAATGTTATGGAATTGGTACATGCCTAAAACTGTTGTATGTTAAATTCCATATTATATCACTAAGAAAAAATCTTTAGCTGAATCCTCAAGAAAGAATTAATTTTATGATGTAAATGCTCACCCCTAATTTACTGGTTTATGTGTTGTTATTGTTTTGAAACTTAATGGTTTCTTATGGGGACTCACATGTAAAGAACCTGTTCTCCTTTAGAAATCCAGTGAGACTTATTGGTTTGCAGGGAGCCTCAACTTTCCACAATATGCTGAATCCTATACACACTAGCCAGAACCATGTGGGCTCGCCATTACTGCCAAGTCCCAAATCTCTCTGCATAGTGATGTTTTTCCTACTTGCTGTGAATAAGAACAGCTGCCCCTTTTGTCTCTGCATTTGAAGCCAATGCTTATGCTTGAGTGAGTGAATAGAGAGGTCGGTGTTGGCTCTTCATGTGCTAAAGCAGGGTGGGGGGGATCAAACAAGGTGCTTGCACACTAGTCAAGCACGCACACTGGTCAAGCACGCACCCTGGAGGCTGATGAAAGCATGTAATGTGCTGCTCAGCCTTGCAGAATCTTCTCCTCTATATGGGGTTTCTATTTCTCTGAGCCCTTCACATGGACTCTACTTGGTAGATGCATTATCAACCTCCCTAATTCCAGTAAACTGTGTGCAGGAAAAGCAACTTCTCTGAGTGGAGGAGATTTTGACATGTGGGCAGCAGAGAAATAATGTAGGAATTTAAGTCTGGCCAAGGAGATCATTTAGATAAACGTAGACGTTTGACAACACATAGCAATATAGAGAAAGTCTCATTAAAAAGTCCCTAATGGCATCACATAGACTTATCTTGTTGCCCACAGGAACGGAATTTTCTGCTCTCCATGGTTACATTTAAAGGGTTGAGAATCTGTGATCCTTTTTCTGCGAATGGGATGTGATTGAAATAGTGAATTAACACTTTCTACTCATGGTTCATTTTATTTCAGTTAATGGCACCGGTGATATTCACCTGTCAAGTATTTACTTATGTTTGTTACAAATGTGTTTGAGGACAAAGGTGGGTGGAAAACCAAGCCTAATCTTGATCCAAGAACAGTGTGTATTTTCTTTATTTAGAGAGTTGAAAATTTATCATGACATATGCTGGCTGCACAGTCAAAACTTATCACTGCCCACGACTTCGGAAGCATGACAGGAGAGCTGTGGGAGCCACTTCCTCGTCAGACGTGGTTTGATATGTCAAGTGAGAACCTGAGTAAAGCAAAGAGGTAATCTTTTTAGCTGGGCCTTCCATATGTAGGGTGATTGAAGTGATTCCATTAATCTCTACTCACAAAATAAAAAAAAGACGTTGTTTTATAGAGTTTATAATTCTCTGATGAGTTTTTTTAAGTTCCAATATATCAATCTTAATATTGGAGAGCATTAATTGATACTGTCCTGAAATGTAGATCAAGTGGAAAAATTTACTCAAGTTCAGCACATTTTGTTTGTATTTTATCACAAATATTGGTAGCATTTTCCTTCCGGATTGAAGTTGATGTTAGATACTATTTTACTTATACAATTCTTTTTGAGACTTAATACTGAGTTAAAATAATGATATCCTGTGGTTGTGAGTTCTTACAAAAACACTGGCTCTACTGTCAGTACTTCACGTCACAAAATCTAAAAGCTAATAAAATATTTTTAATCTTATGCTCCTACTCAAACATTGTGACCCTCCTACAGAATATGAATGTTTTAACAGATTAATACCATGACCTTTTTCAATTATATAGTGCCAGCATCTTTTTCAGATAAGCTTTTTGAAGTTTTCTAACTTATGACTACAAGGTCATCCTTCCTATAATGGGAACTAGTCATTAAAATTTGGTAGTTCTCTGATCATAGCTCTCTGGCTGTTTAAAGATTAGCCATTTCATGATCATTTATTTGTCCCCTAAATCTGTTCACCATTTCATTTAACTGTGTTACTAATAATTTTTATTTGTAAAAAAAAAACATTTTTTACTGGTGAAAATGAAAAGCTTGGATTTATATATGTTCAGAAATATTTTTGGAACTTGAAGTAAATCTCTGATTCTTTGAAAAATATGTACATTACATTTTTATCCCCAGTATTTGCTCTACTCTTTCTATTTTTCTCACCCTTCTCTTGCCTTTCCTGTAATATTTTCTTCTCCCTCTGTTCCTTTCTTTCATGGTTTCTTTGCAAATTTGCTTCACTGGTGCTCAAGGTATCAGTTCTGCATTTAAATGATCTCTTAAATTTTTATTTCTATTTCTGGTTTCCCACCTGTTTATAGGTGAGGGTGCTTAGAAGGATAGAATTATCAGAAACATAGAAGATTTTCTCACATAGAAGCCAGTAAGATTCTATATTATATCCAATTTTAGATTTCCCAAACATTCACTTTCTCTATCCCCATATGTCTCAATCTCCAATCTTCATTCCTATCTATAGCAGCAGAGCACATACACTATGCATATACTTTGGCAATAAGCAAAGTAACCAGAATGGCATAACAATAAATAATCACCCCTCTGAAAACTACATCATTCTGCAGCAAGCATAAGTCAAAGGGTACAAAGATATTTATCTGAAAATAGCAATTAAGTAACAAGATTAATCATACACCAAGATGATACATCAAGCTATTAATTATTCTCTGAACTTAGAGATTTTGAACAACATATAATTTATATTCAATCAGGGGTTTGTTTGTTTATTTTTAATAACATTTACCCCCAAAGAAGTGGAAGACAGTTAGATGTGTGATTTATATCAAAGAAGATGATATTCTTAGTGGGAGGTAGAAAGGATAGAAGACAGATGTTAAAAAAAGTTAAAATAAATTCCTGCTGTTTTATAGGTGGACTTGAAATTAAATATATAAGTAGAGCCCTAGGTTATATTTCTTAGATGCTAATAAAATAATATGTGAACACTAGAGTCAATACAATGATTGATATGGGAAGAATATAGATCTGTAAAGTGCTTATCGTCCTAACCCTGGAAGGATTCAGCTGTATGACTCAGTGTTCTCATCTATAAAACAAAGAAATTATACTAAATAATCTCTATGGACTGTTCTCAGTTTTTGCATCCTGAAAGTAATATTTAGAATGGGATTAACTAGAATCATTTCTCATATGCTACTATCTAGTTGCATATTTTGGATTATTTTTTATTTATATATTAAGAAAAGTACTAAGTAGAAGTATATTTTAAATATGCCTAGTTTTTCCTTTCTTTCTCATTTATTTTATGAATATTATCTAATTAAAGTTAGGTATCTCATTGAACATTTAAGGGAAAGGACGGTCACTTTAAAATTTGCTTACAATTCTGTCTCAGCGCAAATATTATCTGCAGTGGTCAAGTAATTTGTTATATTTAACCTTTATTTTGTCCATTGAGAGTATGAAGTAAAAGCAAGAAAAAATCCTGGGCTGTCTTGTAATTCCCTTATTATTTGCATTATTTTTCATATGCATATATACAGTATTTGAATCAATAAATATATTTTAATTTGTATGTTCAGGGAGAGCCACCTGATAGCCAAATACCACTAAGACATAAAATCTAAGACTTTGGTTCCTGTATGTAGGAACTCTGACATTTATGCCAGTTCCTAGGTGGACTGTAAAGACGGATGCAAAACATTTATTCTCAGGTAAACATTTTTAAAACGGAGTGTTCTATGTTAAAAGGCTCTCAACCAGCTTTGAATGAGTTCATGAGAAGCTATCTAATTATTTGACACTAAAACTAGATGTCAATTCCACTCATAGATATATACTGATTCTGTCTTTGACTCATCAAATCATCAACTGCCACAGCATCTCTTGGCTTCTCCTTTATAAGGAGGTCTGCAGTAAATCTTTAAGGGAAACACATTCCTTAAATTTTAAACATTATTATTGATTGATTTATTCTTTCTTAAGGTCCCATATTCAAATAGCCGTCAAGTTTTGGTTCTTCCTTAGGTTACTTTACAACCAGATTATTATGGAGGAATTTTCAGTATAGTAGAAACAACAATTTGTTATTATTGCCTAATAGAAAATATAGCACATAAGAGAATTATAAGAAAATTTTGGTGGCTCATCGTAATAAATAATGATATCTCTTGCTTTCTTATCTATTTAGACACTTACAGTGGTTTCTGTTATCTTTCACATCACATTTAAAAATTTTGCCTAAATTTCAGACTCATTTATCAACTGACAACTTTGAATAGCCCAGCTCTCATGTAAAAATCCTGAATGGTCACTACTTCTACTTTTTCCATATAAACCTGCCTAGTTCCTGTCACACATTATTAACAATAATTACAACAAAACAACTAATATTTACTGAAGACCTATTCTGTGAAAAAAATAGAGACTTTTAAAAACCATTATTTATTTTATTCTCACCCACAAAATACAATGAATTAGGGATAGTGACATCATCAGATGGTAGAATAAAAATTCTCAGGCTCTCTTTCCTCTGTGGAGAAAATGACTAACACATGGATCCATTCTTTCTGTGAGTAATCAACAAACCAGTTAAGAGACTGCTAAACCCCAGGTGATTGCAAAACTAGCTGCATCAAAGCCAGAAAAATCGATGGCACTCATTCATCACAGTCCTTCCACTTGGCTCAGTATAGTATGATTGGGAAAATACCTCCAGCTCCTGGCTTCTTCCTAGGTAGGGAAGGAGAAAGCTGAAATATGTCCGACATTCATACTTTTTGGAGGGCTGCCCAAGGCACTGGTTTCTGTCTTGTCTAAATGTAAGTACTGACAGAAAAGGGCACCAATTTGAGCGTCACTGAAAAAAAAGTGATGCTTAGGACTAGCACACCCTTATGCATCATAGTCCCACCCTTGTCCCGGGTTCAGGGTAGAATGGGCAAGAGAAAACCCCAAGACATGGCTTCTTCCAGGGGAGGGAAAGAGTTGAAATGTGTTTGCAATATTCAGGATTATTTTTTGGGGGTGGGCTGTCCAGGGACTGGCTTCTCTCTTGACTGTCTTGGAGTCCTAATGAGACCTAGTATACTCGAGAAGCCTGTGGACCACAGAGAATAAAACAGCTAGGCATCTGATGATCACTCCGGAGAACCTTTGGTACTTCTGACATGCACCAAGGGAGTGAAAGAACACAAACTGCTGGAAAAAATGAAACTAGTAAATCGCTCTGATTTGAAATTTACACACACTAGTCCAGAGAAGATTCATCCATAGAAAAGGTTTGAGAAGTTGTCAGAGTCTGTAGGTGGGTTGATTAACAAAGATCTTTCCCTGTACAAAGCCAGTTTTTAAAGTTTGGGAGAAGTGGCTACTTTGACAAATGTGTGAATCCGAACAAAAGTTACAAGGCACATGAAGAAACAGGGAAACATGGCACAATCAAAAGAGCAAAAGAAAATTTCCACAAATGAACTCCAAACTATGGTGGTATATAAAATTTCTGACAAAGAATTCAAAATAACTGTCATAAAGATGCTCAGTATTTCAGGAAAACAATGGGTGAACAAAATGAGATTATTAACAAAGAGATGAAAAATATTAAAACGAACCAAATGAATTTTAGACCTGAAGCATATAATAACTGAATTGAAAAATTCACTAGAAAGCTACAACAGCAGACTTGATCAGGTATGAGAAAAAAAATCAATCAGCAAACTCAAAGAGTGGTTATTTGAAATTATCCAGAAAGAGGAGAAAATAAAAAAAGAATGAAGAAAGTTGAAGAAAGCTTAAGGAACTTATGGTACATCATTAAGTGAACCAATGTATATATTATGAGAGTTTCAGGAGGAGACTAGAGAGAGAAAGGAAAAGTAAGCTTATTTGAAAAAATAGTGCCCCCAAACTCCCTAAATCTAGGTAAGGAAATGGACACCCAGATTCAAAAAGCTGTAGTTCCAACTACAATTAATGTAAATAAATCCACATTGAGACACATGATAATTAAATTGTTAAAAGTCAAATGAAGACAGAATTTTGAAAGTAGCACGAAAAAAGAGACATCACATACAAGGTAGTTTCTATAAGACTGTAAGTGGATTTCTAAAAAATATCTTGCAACTCAGAAGGGAGTGGGATAATATATTCAAAGTGCTGAAAGAAAAAAAACACTACCAGCAAAAAATGCTAAATCTGACAAAACTGTCATTCAAAAATGAAGGAAAAAGAAGACATTCCTGGATAAAGAAAAACTGAAGGAGTTTATGGCCACTAGACCTGCCTTAAAAAGAAAGGTTAAAGGAAGTCCTTTAAGTGGAAATGAAAGGATGCTAGATAACAACACAAAAGCATATGAAAATAGAAAGATCATGGGTAAATGTAAATACATAAGGGATAAATACAGAATACTGTAAAACTGTAATGGTACATAAATCAATTTTAATTCTGACATAGAAGTAAAATACAAAATTACAAAAATAACTATTACTATAAAAATATGTTAATAGATACACAGTATAAAAAGATGTAATTTATGACATCAGTAACATAATGTGTATGTGATGAAAAAGTAGTTTTTGTATTTGATTGAAGTTGTGATTAGTTTATAATAGATTGTTTTACCTATATGATGTTTTAAATAAATCTCATAGTAACCATAAAGAAAATATTGAAGGCACACAAAGGAGAAATAAGTCAAAGTATGCCACTAAAAAAAGTCAATGAAACATAAAGATAGACTGTAAGAGTGAAAGAAGATGAAAAAAACCTACAAGACCAAGAGAAAACAATTAACAAAATGGCAATAGTAAGCCCTTCCTTTTCAGAAATTACTTTAAATATAAACAGATTAAACTCCTTTTTGAAAATATGGGAAATGACTGAATGAATAAAAACACAAGATCTGGCCAGACCCGGTGGCTCACGCCTGTAATCCCAGCACTTTGGAGGGCCAAGGCAGGTGGATCACTTCAGGTCAGGAGTTCGAGACCAGCCTGGCCAACATGGTGAAACCTTGTCACTACTAAAAATACAAAAATTAGCTGGGTGTGGTGGCGTGGACCTGCAATCCCAGCTACTTGGGAGGCTGAGGCAGGAGAATTGCTTGAACCCAGGAGGCAGAGGTTGCAGTGAGCCGAGATCACGCCACTGGACTCCAGTCTGGGCGACAGAGCGAGACACTGTCCTCCACCCCAAAACAACAACAACGACAACAACAACAAACCCCACAAGATCCAATTTAATGCTGGATCTTGAGATAACAAGAGACTTATTTTAGGTTTAAGTATTCACATGGGCTAAATGTGAAAGGATGGAAAAAGATACTCCATGCAAATATTAACCAAAAAAGTGTAGGGGTGGGCCATACTTATAGAATACAAAATAGACTTTAAATAAATTGTCACAAGAAGGCTAGTTGTGGTGGCTCATGCCTATAATCCCAGTACTTTGGGAGACTAAGGTGGGAGATCATTTCAGCTCACGATTTTGAGGCTGCAGTAAGCTATGATTGTGCCACTGCATTCTAGGCTGGGCAACAGAGTGAGACTCTGTCTCTAAAAATAAATAAATAATAAATAGTCACAAGAGACAAAGAAGGACTATATAGGGATAATAGGGTGAACTCATGAGGAAGATATAACAATTATAGATATTTATGCATCCAACATCAGAGCACTCAAATATATGAAGCAGTTACTGACGAACTGAAGGGAGAAATAAACAGCAATTAAATGATAGTAGGAGATTTCAATACCCCACATTCAATAATGGATAGAACACCCAGATAGAAAGTCGATAAGAAAAAGAGGACTAGAACAACAATATAGACAAAATGGAGCTAAAAGACATATACAGAACATTCTGTCCAACAGCAGCAGAATATACATTCTTCTCAAGCACACACACAACATTCTCCAAATGAATCACATGTTAGGTCACAAAATAAGTCATGACAGATTTAAGAAGATTGAAATCATACCAAAAATATTTTCTGACCACAATGGAATGAAGCTAGAAATCAACAGCAAAAGAAACATAGGAGAATTCATGAATAAGTGAGAATTAAGCAATACATTCTCGAACAACCAACGGGACAAAGGAAAAATCAAAAGGGAAATTATAAAATGTTTTGAGAAACAAAAATAAAAACAAAACGTATCAACACTTATGAGATGCAGCTAAGCAGTATGAAGAAAGCAGTTTACAGTGGTAAATGCATACATTAAAAAAGAAGAAAGATATTAAACAAACAATGTAACTTTACAACTCAAAGAACCAGAAAAAGAAGGAAAAAATAAGCCCAATTTTGAACAGAAGGAAGGAAGTAGTAAACATTAAATGAGATAGAGAATGGAAAAAAATATTAAAAAAACAAAAAAACTAACAACTGTTTTTTGAAAAGATCAACAATATTAACAAACATTCACTTAGGATAAAAAAGAAAAAAGAAGACTCAAAATCAGAAACGAAAATGGAGACATTATGAATGTGATAGAAATACAAAGGATTATAAGAGACTACCATGAATAATTATACAGCAACAAATTAGATAACTTGGAAGACATGAATAAATTCCTAAAAGTATATAATCTATCAAGACTTAATTATCAAGAAATAGAAAATCTGAACTGAGCAATAACTCATAAGTCCAAGAACAAGCAGTTTCACTGATTAACTCTACCAAACATTTAAGGAACTATTCATGCCAATGCCTCTCAAACTTTTTCAAAAAAATTAAAGAAGAGAGAACACTTACAAGCTCATTTTATATGGCCAACATTGTCCTGATATCAGAACCACAAAAAGACACTACAAGAAAGAAAACTATAGGTCAATATACCTGATGAACATCGATGTTTACATCTTCAACAAATACTAGCAAAACAAAAACATCTTCAACAAATACTAGCAAACTAAACTTAACAACACCTTAACAGGACCATAGGCTATAATCAAGTAGAATTTATCCCTGGGATGTAAAGATGGTTCAACATACAAAAATCAATTAATGTAACATACCACATTAACAGAATGAAGGAATTTAAAAATCTCAAGATCAGATCAATGGATGCAGAAAAAAGCATTTGACAAAATTCACCTCTTTTTCATGATAAAAACACTCAACAAACTATGAATAGAAGGAAATTATGCCAGTAAAACAAGAACCATATATGAAAAGCTCACTCACAGCTAACCTCATGCTTAATGGTGAAAAATGGAGAGTTTTTTCTTGAAGATCAGGAACAAGGCAAGGATGCCCACTCTTGCCACTTTTATTCAACATTGTATTGGAAGTCCTCACCAAGATAAATTAGGCAAGAGAAAGAAATAAAAGGTATCCAAATCAGAAAAGAAGAAAGAATAATATTTCTGTTCTCAGATGACATAATCTGTAAAACCCATATCAAACACTAAAGGTCTCACAAAAAAACCTGTTAGAAACAAATTCACAAACATTGCAGGATATTAAAGCAACACAAAAAAATCAGTTGTATTTCTATACATTAACAGCAAATAATCTGAAAAAGAAATTAAGAAAATCTCACTTATAATCACATCTAAAGGAATAAAATACTTAAGAATAAACTTAACAAATGATATGAAAGGCTTGTACCCTGAAAACTATAAAACATTGCTAAGTAATTAAAGAAGATATAAATAAATGGAAAGACATTCATGTTCATGGATTGAAAGAACTTACTATTCTTAAAAATGTTAATAGTACCGGAAACAATCTACAGATTCAATGAAATCTCTATCAAAAGCACAATGGCTCTTTTTTGCAGAAATAGAAAAAATATTCTAATAGTCATATGGAACCAAAAAGACCCCAACAGCCCAAACAATCTTGAGAAAGAAAAACAAAGCAGAAGCCTCACACGTCCTGACTTCAAAACATATTACAAAGCTACAATAATCAAAACAGTATGGTACTGGCATAACAACAGATACATATAGACTAATGAAACAGAGTAGAGAGCCCCAAAATAAGCCAAAGAAGCCTATGCATATACAGTCAAATGATTTTTGACAAGGTTGTCAAGACTACACAATGGTGAGATGATAGTCTTCACAACAAATGATGTTAAGTAAATATCCACATGCAAAAGAAAGAAACTGAACTAATATATACAAAAACCAAATCAAAATGGAAGAAAGGCTTAAGAAGCTGTAAAACTCCTAGAAGATATATAGGTGGAAAACTTCATAGCATTGGTTTTGGTAATGATTTCTTTGATATGAAATAAAAAGCACAAGCAACCACAAAAAATAGACAAGTTAGACTTTAAAATAAAAGTTTCTGCACAGCAAAGGAAATAATAAACAGACTGAAAAGGCAACCTAGGGAATAGTGGAAAATATTGGTAAACCATATATCTGATAATAGGTTAATATCTAAAATATATGATAAACCTCTAAAATTTAATAGTGAAAAAAAAACCCAATTAAAAAATGGGCAAAGAACTTAAGTAAATATTTCTTCAAAAAAGACATTCAAATGGCCAACAGGTATATGAAAAAAGTTCAACATCACTAATCATCCGGGAAATACAAATCAAAACCACAGTGAGATATCACCTCATACTTGTTAGGATGGCCATTATTAAACAACAACAACAACCAAACAGAAAATAACAAGTGTTGACAACGATGTGGAGAAACTGGAACCCTAGTGTACTGATGCTTGAAATGTAAAATGGTGTAACAGTATACAGTTCTCAAAAAATTAAAAGTAAAATGATCATATCATTCAACAATTTCACTTTTGGATATTTAGCCAAAGGACTGAAAATTGAATCTTGAACGAACATCTGCATTCCCATGTTCACTGCAGCACTATTCACAGTAGGCAAGATATGAAATCAACCTAAATATCTGCTGACAGGTGAATGGATAGAGAAAATGTGGTATATACATATCATGGAATGTTATTCAGCATTAAAAAGAAGAACATCCTATTATAGGCAACAATATAGATGAACTTAGAGGATATCATGCTTAATGAGACAAGCACATCACAGAAGGACAGATACTACATGATTCCACTTAACAAGAGTTATCTAAAGTAGTGAGACTCACAGAAGCAGAGAGTATGATGGTGGGTGCCAGAAGCTTGGGGAAGGGAGAAAATGAGGAGTTGCTGTTCAATGAGTGTATATTTTCAGCCATGCAAGATGTAAAGTTCTGGAGATCTGCTTTACAACAATGTGCATACAGTCAGCAGCAGTGTCTTGGACACTTAAAAATTTGTTGAGAAGGTGGATTTCAGGTCATGTGTTTTTTACAACAATTAAAAATACCAAATGAGTTAGAGAGTAGTTATGCCTATTACAGATGAGGAAACTGAGGCTTAGAGAAGATGCCTAACCTTTGTCTCTGTATCTTTTACATAGGGTTTCAATAATCTGAGATGTTGAATCCTCTTCTTTGTCAAGCCATTTTTTAACTTTATTTAATATCAGTTATATCTATTCCTTTCCCTTATTCCACACAGCCTCATTGTCAAAGGCTTACTACTTTTTTCCAGAGAGCCCCAAAGAATATCTGATATATTATAAATATTCATGAATGATCAATCTAACTGACTTTTCTTTTTATGAAAAATAAAGATGCTCTGACTAATGGTCCTCTTTTGTTCTTTGGAATGAAAGATATTTCTCTTACTTCTTCCAAAGTTTTGACCACACAGAGTTAAAAGCACTATCCAATAGTCATAGAGACTTGACTGATGGACAAAGATTCCAAAGCAGACACAATTTAGCAAAATCCAGTCTGAGAACTTTTTCAGTAAGTTCCTTTTAATGTTAGAAGGGTGAAAGAGATGACAACAATTCCCACATTGGACACTCCTGTAGACAACTTTGGCAAGAATTTATTTCATGCCCAATATTCTTACAAATCATCCCCTTGATGATGACAGTGAAGGCAACTTTGCTTCCCGGCTCACAAGATTTGATTTCCTCTGTTATCTGGAGGCATCATTGCAGACTTATAATTCTTTCATCTCACTTCTCTGAGTCCTAGAGCAATATCTGAAAGTACTATGAAATGTAATTTTCTCCCCAGACTAACAATCTAGTAAGTGGTAGAAGACTTAAGAATGGCATTCTAGTTCACTTCATAAATATTTAGAACAGTTTCTTCTCTCTTTTTTGTTTTTTAAAATGGGCTCATTGACAGGAAAAACATTAAAATATTGTATGGTTCTTGGTGGCCAATCTAATATTAAAGCTAACTGCCCCATTCTGTACTTAGAATGACCTCAATTTGTAACTAACTGGATTGCCTCCAGAGTCATCTATAATTTAATTATATTTATCCCAGCTCACCTAGAACTGAAAATGAAATGGTGATTTTGGTTTGTGAGGCCAGAATCAATAGCCATTAAGAGAACGAAGAGATTTTTAAATCCAAGAAAAAACCAAGTACCTAAAATATGTCTTGCATCAGCTGCTATATACTCAGAGAGTGCAGGGATGGTGAAATTTTTATCATGAGGCTCTATATAGTTTTTATGCCTGGAAAGAAATGGATTAAGGCAAAAACAGATTGTTGATCAGAATAAGAGCTGAAGGTTCAGCTTTCAGAGTATTTTGAACTTGTGTGGCACATTTAGAGAGGCAGACAGATCCTAAGGAAGGACAGAAATAGAGGAAAGCTATAGATGAGAAGAAAATCCTGTGTAAGCCAAGTGTATGAGTTTCTCTAACCATGTCATTGGCATCATGTAAATGCCAGACATCATTTTATATACAGCTTAGATGTAGCAGATGTTGGCATTTAAGTATAGTTTGCTATGAGAGAAAATTGCCCTTGAATGGAAAAGAAAGTTTGCTGGCAGAGAAAAATAATTTTCTCAGTTAACGTTATAACCTCAATAATAGAATTGTTTTCAACCAGAGGTTGTGGGGTGGGAAAGGAGGAGAGATATAATGATACCTCAATTCCAATCTAAAAAAGAGAGAAAATCAGCTTCAGTTTAAATTGTGATGTGTGGGTTGTATACATAGAACCTTCTCCTCCCTCTCTTCTCAAACCTTAAGGCTTCGTGTTAAATGGAACAAATCACATCCTTCGTGGTTCTGCTCTGTTTGGTACAGCTGCTTGCTGCAGGTGGTGCCCTAAAAATATATTGTTTGTTTATTTTGCAATATAGCAGTCTGCAGAGTGGTACCTAAAAGTGCAACTGCTCCCTTCTCTTTCTATTGGTGAACCAAATGATGAAAGACTAAGACCCCTGCCAAACCTAGCGTGAAAAGGCCCAAATAACAGGCACAGGTAAAGCTTGAGGCTCAGCTTCTGATAAGTTCCATTTTCTTTGGATTCATGAAGCAAAGCTGATGGGCAGACTATTTGTCATCAGAGCTTCCAACTGGGTGTCAGTGAAACAAAGCCAGGCAACAAACCACCTTTCTTGAGAGAATTATTGTTCTTCTCTGGAGATTAACATCTGTAAGCATATGGGATATAAAAGAAAAAATCTATTATGCAACACACACACACACACACACACACACACACACACAGAAAGCAAAGATTAATCTCAGGTAAATGTTCTTGCAGATATATTTAATTGTGCTTTCAGTGATTCTTAATTTATAACTTAAATGATCAAATAATTTTTCCAGACACATGCTCATGGCACTCAGATTTAATCTCACTTATGGAGTTGTTGAACACATCACAATAATTTGTATGTGAAGATTTCTATAAACTATGTTTAAAATAATGCTATACAAAATCAAATTTTATTAATATTATTCTATACTTTTCTCACTGAATGAATCTTTTAAAAACACTCTTGAAAATTCCAATGTTTATATGAACTCATCTGTACAGAGGGAAGAGTGATGATAATGAGTCATGCCAATCAACCTTTGGCAAGGCATTGTCTACCATAAAAATGTTACTTAACATCAACAAGATTCTGGAGAATAGGTTTTATAATCGAATGGATGAGTAACAACAGTGATTTTCTAGAAACACTTGGAAAAATATTGGCTTCTAGCAATCAAGTAACTAACATTTCTCTAAAATTTAGTTACATAGTAATGCATTTGGATTATTTTGGAGTTGGTACAAAAATAATTGTGGTTTTTGCCATTACTTTCAAATGGCAAAACTGCGATTACTTTTGCACCAACCTACATGGGAGGAGATAGAAAACAGAGTGAAGATGACAGCATGATTCCAGTCTTCAGAAATGGGGATGATGATATTTATCCTGACAGTGATGGAGAGGAGGACAGAAAGGGGAAGACTTGAGAGGGGGAGCAGTACGCTCAATGTCAGGCTTGTCAGGCAGAAGGAAACAGATAAATGGAATATGGTGAGGTGGATAGAAAAAGTTGAAAAATAAATGTAATGCCAAAAAATGTGAGAAACGGAGGTGGAGAGAATGATTAGATTCTGAAAGAATGTGGGGAATCTTTTAATGAAAGAGGAGAATTTAAGAAGTCAGAAAGAGGGAAGAAGAAAAATATATGTAAGCTAGCTTCCTTTTAAGAATAGTAATATGTATTTACTGACTGCAGACTAGGCTATACCTGGTCAGAGCTCCAGATAATGCTGGCCTGAGTAGAGTTCCCTACCCTGAATGTTCTCCTACCTATAATACTCCTTCCGCAAATATCCACATGGGCCAGTCCTCACTGCAGTCAGATTTTAGCTCTAAAGTCACCTATCACAGAATGGCCTTCCCTGGCCATTCTCTTTTGGCTCTTTTTTACCTTATCCTATTTTATTCATCAGCAGAGCAGCTACCCTACTGAACATACTATAGATATTCATTTGCGTCTCCTTACAAGAATTTAATTTACCTGACAGCAAAGACTTTGACTCACCCCTGTATGTACAGTGCTTCATACCAATGCAGGGCAGAGGCACTCAGTGAATATCTGTTGAGTGACTGAATGAATGTAAACCTGTTTCTAACTCTAAGCAGTTGAACAGTATGGAAGAATACAATGCCATTGGTTATCCTAAATCCAGACTCTAATGAAGTTTCTGCCTGTATTCCAAGACAGCAACTATGATCCATTACTCCATATACTATCCTGGTGATAAGTTGTCATGTGCACCCTATTATATTGCCACAATATATTGCCCAGAAGAAAAATCCATACTACTGCCGGGATGTGGGTCTTCCAAATCAGCCCAGATAAATGATCACAGCAACTTTGAAGCTTTTAAGGCCACAAGTTTGAACCAAAGAACATGTGAGTACCACATGGCTATGTCATATCAATTCAGATCCCAGAGTCACAATTAAAGGACAATAAAGATGTGGCCAAACACATTTTGTCATCTATTTTGGTGACTTCTTTACTATATTTTTATTATCAAGCTTCCTTTGACAACCTGCCTCTAATTTTTAAATTGTAAGCAACACAGACATTTCTGTTTGCGAAAAAAGACATTGCTGAAGAGAAATACGTGAACAATTATTGAATCACTGACATGGAAGTTTTCCGTACCTCACAGTATAATTTCAGGAAAAATTGTTTTTATGCTAACATATCGTATGGTAGGACTGAATCAACCTAAACATGGCATTAAACTAAGAAGATGGCATGAAATTAGAATGCGTATGAGTTGAAAAACTAAGACATTAAAAAATAAAATAGAACCTGCTATTATTCTCTGATGAAGAAATCAATTAGGTTATGGAACAGGGGGTAGGGAAAGTAAAGACGAATTGCTAGAAGACACTAGGTCGTGAGAGGAAAAAGGAATAGTCTCTATTTATAACGTTGTTGATGATAAGCTAATCAAACTTAAGAGGTAGAGCTATTGGAAATCAATAAAGGAGAATGGAATAACTCATAAATTTCAGGATATAAGAGGAGATAAAGAAACTCAAAATATCCTTGAAGACAGGACACTCTACTTCAGTCCATGACTCTAGAGCCATATTTGCAATTAGCACTAACCAAAATAATCACGTGACAAATAACTGCTTCCTTGAGTATAATAAAGTGTAATAGTATGAACTAAGTTAGAAGATTACACGTAGTAAACATATGTATATAAAAAGTTATGGCCTTGACTCTCAGGGCCACTGCTTGATAGGAGTCTAACAAAATGAACGGCAGTCGGGACAAGTGTCAGAGAGAAACAAATGGCAGTCAGGACAGAAGCAGCCACAGTGCCATGAGGAGAGGAAAAGGCAAGAGAATAATAAGAACTAGGAATCAGATATCTTGTTATATAGAAGAATGTGTGGGTTGGGAACAGTAGAGTTTTCGATCCTATTTATAAGATTGGTAAAAGCAAAAGGTACAGAAGGAATGTCACCAATGGCTCTTTTTTTACTGTGTAAAAATTATTTAGCTTAAGTGTGTCTGCCCATATTTTAAATTCTTTTTCCCTCAAGTATAACATACTGAACAATAAATTATCCCTCATCTTATAGCTGTCATCTTTATACCCTTCCTTTGAGAATTCCTTGCTCTTATTTGAAAACACTAACATATCCTACTATTATTGTCCTATCACCATGTTTAGAAGTTCTCATGAAGAGAAAATTGCCATCAAAGATATATTTTTAAGAAATTTGTATCATAATAACTGATCATGACTGGAAAATCATCCTAAAAGGCAATAATATTATATACAGTATTATGAAGAAGGATGCTGACCTTTTATTCAAGGCCAAAAACTTGTAATGTCTTTCAAAAAATACTGTATTTTAATATATCTTCATATACTTTACTTATTTCTGAAATAACTTATAATTTAATGTACTTCACTTCTTCCTGAAATAATTTTATGATTATAAAATCAAATATAAAAATGGGATCATACATTGTTTATTGCACAACATTGTATGCAAACAATTTCAACTTTTAAATCTCACATTACTAAGAAAACACAATTATTGGTGATTTTTTTTGCAACATATAATCCTTACTACTATCTTAAATGTGTTGGCATTTTTATTCCCTGATGTTTCCAAACATTTCCTTAGAATGTGATATGCTTCAAACAGTACACATAGAAAAATATATTGCATCCTGATAATAATGGTTGATATGGGATAAAATTTGCTGCTGTGTAGGATAGTGGTGAACTACACTAAATATTATTACACTAGCTTTAAGAATCACAGTTCTATCTGGGGAGTAAGTAAATTTAGTAGGATTTAGTTAATTTTTGTATGTCACTGTGAGTTGGCCTGAAAAGCTAATAGTATTCTCAATGAGCAGTGGAAGAAACTGAGCTAAAGAGAAAATAAATAACATTACCTTTATTGTTTTCAAGGCAATTTCTTAAACATTATCTCATTTAGTTCATAATTACAAAACAGCTTGTTATACAACTGGGTATAAGATTTAAGGATTCTTGCTCCCAGACTGTGAATATTTTACCTTATATTACTAAATTTGCATATAGGGAATACCTGAGAATATTAAAAGCAAAAAAAAATCTTAAACGTAATCTGACTTTAGAGGCTGTTTAAGTTCTTGCACTTTGCTCACAGAACCACTCACCAATTTACAACTGCACTTTTCAGTAGTAAAGTGAAATAAAATTTAGAACATGATAATTGTATACTGTTGACTTTAACCAAAACTTGATTGACATTACAATCAAGGTGTTACACTCCAAAGGGGATGATATTCACATGAATTTATTATTATTTAGAGGAATAGAGAATAGATTGGAAAGTTAAATTTGTGCCCATTTCAGAAGTAACAACAACTTACTTCTTACTATTCAGTAATAATAATATTTTTTACTATTCAGGGATGGATCCAGTCAAGGTTCTGAAATTAGTCTGTGGGACTTCGCTTATTTATCCATGCTTTGCAACTCTGAGCTGTGCCCAGAAATGTCCTTTCCCTGTTCTACTTACCACCTTCATTCTCCTATTTCAGTAACATTGCCATAGGGAAAACTCTCTATTTACATTGGTATTTGCTTCTTCTTCCCATATTTTTGTGACTATTTTTATAAACTATTCTGATGTTACAGAAAAACAAACACATTTATTTTGTTTACTGGATTACTATCTTTTGACAAGCAGGTTTGTGTTTCTGGTACACAGGAGAACTAGAGTTGGAGTAGTAGGCATAACTGAAGCCATGTAACAAAGCTATTGAACCACCATGGGAACAGGGAAAGAAGCCCAGGGCTAGTCATTCTGTCTATTTTCTATTGCAGGCACAAGACAGTTTGTCCTAAGAAAACAGTTGTAGAGTCTTTGATACTGGACTAGGAAGAATCTGGAAGACTTAGTTTTCAATTCCAGATCTACACCAACTCACGATTTACTGAGAAGTACGGTACGCACAGTATAGATACACAGACTCATTATCTGATAAAAGGCTAGTTGTGTGAAAGGCTTGATCCTGCAGTCTCAGAAAGGAAATGACTCTCAGGGCCTAAAAAGGAGTCAATGGAGCAATCAGAGCTGTGATGCCATTCTGGTATTAGAGAATCATCTTTCCTGAGTAGACACCAGGTGTTTCTGAGCAATTTAGGACATAGAAGAATCAGTAGTGAAGAGAAAGGGAAGGCACTAATATTTCTGATGAAAAATTTGAAAAGTGTACCATGTAGTCCCTACATCAAGCCTAAGGAAAACAAACTTCCATGAGTAGGTCATATCATGGTAATCCTTTAAACAACTGAATAGGAAATTCCTATTCTCAGCCAGTATAGAGAACTACTGACTTAGAGTACTGCCCCCTTCTGCTCCCATATATTTGGAAAGAATTAAACACTTGAAAACTATGTACATTTGGAATTGATGCTTGATATTTTTAAACATTATTTAAATGCCTACCTTGTTGAAGATCAGCTGACCATTACATGTGGATTTATTTCTGGACTCTATTCTGTTCCTTTGGTCTATATGTTTGTCTTTATGCCAATACCATACTGTTTCAATTACTGCAGCTTTTTTAATATTTTGAAATCAGGAAGTGTGATACTTCTAGCTTTGTTCTTTCACAAGATTGTTTTGATTATTCTGGTGTTTTGTGGTTCCATATGAATTGTAGGATTTTTTTTTCTATTTCTGTAGAAATGCTATTCAGATTTTTAATAAACATTGCATTGAATCTGTAGATTTCTTTGGGTAGTATGGACTAGAATAATTGGCTGCAAAAGGTCTGTTTATTTTGGCACATTATCAATACTAATAGATGTTAAAGGGACCTACTACATTTTTCTTTTAAATAAATCCAATGAAATTTGAATACCACTGTGATTTGAAATTCACCTTCTTTTATTTAAAGATACACGTATACATTCTTGTTTAAAGATCAAACATTTTATGTAATTTCTTCTCTTTGTGAACTCCACTGCTTGTGCTAATGTTTTTTAACTTGAAATTTTTTTTTTTTTTTTTTTTTTTTTTTTTTTTTTTTTTGAGACGGAGTCTCGCTCTGTCGCCCAGGCTGGAGTGCAGTGGCGGGATCTCGGCTCACTGCAAGCTCCGCCTCCCGGGTTCACGCCATTCTCCTGCCTCAGCCTCCCAAGTAGCTGGGACTACAGGCGCCCGCCACTACGCCCGGCTAATTTTTTGTATTTTTAGTAGAGACGGGGTTTCACCGTTTTAGCCGGGATGGTCTCGATCTCCTGACCTCGTGATCCGCCCGCCTCGGCCTCCCAAGAAATTTTTATATTGATAATTCTATCACACTTCTTTGCAGAAAATATCTATGTATAGGTATAAATTTGTATATATGTTAAATATGTATAAGCTTAAATTTGATTTTTTCCCATGTCCATAAGGCATTGTGTTGAAAATGTATTCTTGTTTATCAACACAATTATTGTTATATAAAATTGATCAAAACAACATTATTATAAATATTGATTAAAACTACTAGGTATAAAATAAAATTTTATTTGATATGAATTTCTTTTTTTTTTCTTTCTTTTTTTTGAGACAGAGTCTTGCTGTCTCGCCCAGGCTGGAGTGAAATGGTATGATCTCAGATCACTGCAACCTCCGCCTCCCGGGTCCAGGCAATTCTCCTGCCTCAGCCTCCCGAGTAGCTGGGATGACATGCATCCGCCACCATGTCCAGCAAATTTTTGTATTTTTAGTAGAGACGGGGTTTCAGCATGTTGGCCAGGCTGCTTTCAAACTCCTGACCTCAAGTGATCCACCCTCCTCAGCCTCCCAATGTGCTGGCATTATAGGCATGAGCCACCAAGCATTAGCACTAGAATGAGACAGAATTAAGGACGATTCAATTTCTAGGTTTTTTTTCTCCTTAAGGTTTAAGCATTGAAAAATCTTGTTCTCTAAATAGAGAAGCATTGAAGGCTTTTCATTATAATGATGACACTCAACGGCAGCAACTTTTTGCATGCCACAGTTTACATAATTATTTATAACAAAATTTATTTCAGATAGTCTACCAACTGACAAATCTATTAGGTCTTCCTTCAATTTTAATGAAAGCAAAGAATTGAAAATTGCCCAATTTGCAACAGTAATTTCTGGGAAGTACACCAAAAATACTACCAAGACATAACAAACAATTATTAATTATATTCCTACTTCTTTCTCCTATAGTCACCTAGTTCAAACTGATGTATATAATAACAGTTTGGGAAATACTGAAATGTTATTTAATTTCAATATATGTTTTTTGAAATAATATTTTCTATCTGTTTAAGAAGTCATGCGTTTTGGGTATATTTTTTGTCAAACTGTGAAGCTGCAGATCTGGCTAATTTAGTTTTTGAAAAATGGCATAATATGTAACTTTTTTTTTTTTGAGATGGAGTCTTGCTCTGTAGCCCAGGTTGGAGTGCAGTAGCATGATCTCGGCTCACTGCAACCTCCACCTCCCAGTTTCAAGCGATTCTCCTGCCTTAGCCTCCTGAGTAGCGGGGATTACAGGTGTGCACCACCACACCTGGCTATTTTTTTGTGTGTGTATTTTTAGTAGAGATGGGTTTCACCATGTTGATCAGGCTGGTCTCGAACTCCTGACCTCGTGATCCAGTGGCCTCGGCCTCCCAAACTGCTGGGATTACAGGCGTGAGCCACCACACCTGGCCAAAATCTATAACTTTTAAATGATGAAATCATTATCTACTGTGAATCAATTCAAATCAAACTAATTTTTCCTTTAAAATACTGTTTTATTTTTTAATTCAAATAAATGTAACAAAGGATAGTCCCATGGCCATGGCAACCACACCACTTCTGACTGCTGAGTAGCTAGTATCAGCTCATATCACTTCCCACTCATCCCTTTCAAACTACACAAGTTCACAACTTAGATTTAACATGTAAAACGTGAATGGCAATATTCTAGGTGACGTGGAAGTCAGAATTCAAATCTTAAAAATAAAATCTTTGTGAATGTTTCCAGATTAAAAGAGGCATCAAACAGCAACATGCACAATAAGGCCACTCCCATGCATACAACATACATATCAGCTACATCCAAAGAAACACCCATGTGCCATTCCCAACACAACCTCAAGTCCACTTGGATAAAGAGTTTCAAAGTTTGGAAAACTTCTTCACTAACGGTATCCTCAGTAAGTCTTAGCCAGACAAATGGCAAACATAAATTATTAACAACATAACTAAACACATCTGTGACTTTACTGACCCCAATGTATGCATTTTATCTACATTTTTTTCCTCAATCTGTTGAAAAATAATTTTTACCATTTCATGCACTCTACAAAGTAGAGAGTTTTCTGAATAGGGAATAGATATAACCGAAGGAGAACTTGACTTTAAACTATTTTTAGCTATGAACCAGGTACCAGATATTAGAACCTTTTCTAATGTCATCCATGGCTTCCCTGCTCATTTGTACACTGTTTCTAAGTCAACACTAATGGCTGTGGGAAAACAGAAAGCTTACATATATATATATATATAAATTATTCTTTCTGCACATTTGTTTGTAAAACACACTCCCTGTTCATTGTTTTTATCACAGGAAGTAAAGTATAATATGTGCATAATAAATGTGAGGCACATCCCTCTTCATTCCCCTCACCTGTGGCAGACATAGCTAATCAATCATGGCATCCTTTGCTGCTCAAGAACCCTGAATTTTTACACTCCGGGAATCCATTATCCATCAGCTGCTGCTGGCATTCAGATTGAAGACTATTTCCCAACCTTGCTATGACAGCATGTTCATTGTCCCTATTTATTAGCTAAAATATCTTAGGAAGAGCTTTTAACCTATTCTGCTGCCCTCAGAGGACTGTTACACAATCAAAAGATTTAATTCATGTGAACATATTTTATAATCCATGCTGTTCCAATCACACATTGAAAGGATCCGATTAATTTTTCTGTAACGTGAACAATAATATCTCCCCAATTGATCTCCTCCTTGGCTCTCCCCACATACATTTATTTTATCTATTTTGAAAATGTGGATTTTTTTAATTTTTGGTTTTATTAAATCTGTGCACATCTGTATTCTTTTTGAATGTGCTATCTGATGCTAACCAGAAGAAAATATGGCTGGAGAAGGAGAAAGCTCGAAATATCACACCTGGCTCATCATTATGGTGTTCTGGCAGTCTTTTCTGCACGGCTGGAAGCTGTGTGATTAATAGCCCCTCGTCCCAATTATATGGATATTATACTTGTCTTCCTTTGGCTGTAGATTGGAGATATCTTATGTATGTGTGATGCAAATGTGGGCTTTGTGAATGCTAATTTCAGAATCAGCCAGGAGTTGATTGGCAGAAAACCGAACAACAGGGTGACAGGCTTGCCAGGGTTCAGGAATCTGTGAAAGAAAGGCTGAATGAGGGTGGAGACAAAGAGCTGGAGAGATTTGGAGTTAATCAAGAGCAGTGGCTGAGAAAGCAGCAGTTTATGAAAGCAGATCTAAGCCAGATATGCTGGAAGAGAGGGCAGTTTCAAAGACTTGGATGAAAACAGTGAGAAGAGTGAGAGTTCAGCTGACTTTACAAAACTGCATGGAGCTAAGAAGCCAAGATTATGCCTTAAACTGCATAAGCCATATTCTTTGTCTACCACATCCCCCAAATGTGCCTGTTTGCACCTCGTTTGTGCTTTGGGGAACGTTGCTGTATATTTGACTGTGACAGCCTCAAGGTCAGAGGTCCTGACACCTTTGCTTCTCTAGATGCCAGAAGGAGACAAGCACTGAGGAATTTTCCACTAGACTGATTTAATGGAACATTTGATTGTCAAGGAGATGATCTGGGTAACACAAAAGGGGAGGGACAGAGATTTAAGACACTATTTCATCAATTAATCATTACATCAGTGATCAGAATGAAGATAGGAAATTTTGTTTGCAGAGCAAGTTGTTAAAGATAAGCCTTTTTGATTTGCATTATAAAACTCGAGTTCAAATTTGCTAAGTTTTCTGTATAGCAGACACATTCAACCCAAAGCTGGCTAGATAAGAGCAAGCTCAAAAGTAGAAAATGTGTTGAAATTTCTCCAAGTAATGCCGTGGCTGTGCCATTGCTAACTCTGGTGTTCCACAGTCAACATTGCAAAAGTAGTACACCCCTGGAAAGAACAGGTGGAAAAGGTAGAGGTGAAGATGTCACATCCTAGGATGGTTTACTCAAACTATTCCTTCACTCCACTGGGGGGAATGCAGACAGGAGAAACAAGAGCCAGTAGCATGAAATATTGGTCACATCTGTTCTTAGCAATAACCCATCCATCTTCTTTGCACTCTAGCCACCTTGCTGTTACAGATGGTTTCTACTTAAGGAAAATTATCTTTTCTTTGGGTATGTATGTCAACTTCAACATATGCCCCCACGTCCAAATGTATTTTTTTAGCACATTCCCTATGTGTCAGCATTTTATGTGGCATTTAATAAATCTGTGAATCTATTTTACGCACACATACACACATAAACTAATTCAAAAAACTCTATAAATAGTCATATATAAATATCCATGCACATAAACTGTATCTTCACTTCATCCTTAAAACATAGGTGGAAATTTTCCAAAATTTTGTGGGTACAGTAAAGATAGGCAGTTCTACAGAAGGAATATTTTGTTTAAAACCTCCTTTTAATACATATATAAAGATATTTTATCTGACCCCAAATCACAGAAATATTTCACTTTTCTCATGTGATAATGATTACTTGATTTAAATGGATTTTAAAGAATGAAATGGCTACTTCCATCCTGTCAAGTCTAACTTATTTTTACTTCAGGATAAGCAAAGTAAGCACTTTTAGATTTAAAACTATTACAGAAGAGTTTGTTAATTGGAAGGAGTGTCTATGGTTGAACATATTCAAGGGATATTACTTAGTGTTTTAGCAAAGAACATAATTCAAATGTTCTGGACATCATTTATGCTGATTTCCAAATAAACAGCCCTTCCTCTTTACTGTCCATTCTGTGATTGGGTGGGACTGTGTGACCAATTCCGCACAATGAACTGTGAACAATGAGCCTTCCTCCCAAGCAGAAGCATGTGTGTGCCCATGTAGACCCTCCACAGCTATTATTACTTTCTGGCACAGTAACCCATGATGATGGAGATACTGGCTACTCAACTAGCCTTGTTTCCTTACTGACAGTGATCAGTGGAGCCTCCTGCTGACACACAAGAAGAAACCTTCATGACTTTTATTTACAGAGAATTTGGAAGTGTTTACTAACATAGCATACTTAGCTTCCTTAGTCTATCACAACACACACACACACACATAAGCACACACATTCCATTAAAAATATAACAAGGATATATTAGTTATATCATCTAACACTGACACACTCACATAGTTTTTTTTTTTAATTCCAGAAGAATTTTATGTTTCTCTGAATTGTATGCCACTCTACCCAGAAACTATTATTTATTGTTATCCAAGAACTGTGAGTCAATATCATTTCCAAAATAATTAACTAAAGAGGTAAAAAGCAGATTCTGCTTGCATCATTTGTTGCTAACAATTTTAATACTATGCACATCAATTGCACATCCACATAGAATCTAAGAAAAATCTATGCAGTTCTGCATTTAAGATCTGTAATGAATAAATGGATTCATGTGTCATAAAGTTGCCTTAACTTTATACATCTCATGATATTATGCAGTTGGCCTTCTTGAGAAAGAGGTGTTTTAATTTATCTCTTTGTCATAGTAATACAATGTTAAATCATGTATTTTATATAAAATAGGCATATGTTGTACACATATGTTATTTGTAAGTGCTACTGCCTCCTGGTAGAAGGAGGTTTTTTTTTTTTTTTATTGTTACAGTACTATGAAAAATGGGGGCATGAATGTCTTAGAATTAGAATCTATAGAAAATGTGATTTTTTCTGGAAAAAAAGTGGGAGATTAAAGGTGATGGATGGTGCCTGGGAGAAATCTAGGAAGGAAGAAGGAGATAGGGCAAATGAAAAAGAGAAATCCCAGGGCTAGCAGCACAGCCAAAAGAAGCACTAAAAGAGAAAACACTTATGGAAATCTTATAATTTTGAGTACTGTAGAACGTTATGAAAAAAATCTCTGATCATCCCTTCAGAATCCTTGGAAAAGTCTACCAAAAGTCACGTAATCACATCTTGACTGATTGGATTTCCTATGTAAAATGCTGATGATAACAAAGGGTATTTACTAATTGTCGAAGAAAATCAGCACACTAAGTCCAGAGGATGGTTTAGTTTAACCTGAGGATTTCCTGTTAAAAGTCGCATTAATGAGGAAAAAGCAAAAAGGCCACACTTTACCCACAGATTCCATTTGTGTGCACTGAGTTCGCACAGAAATAAAACAACCCCAGAGGCACTAGAAGGAGCGGTTGGCTGCCAACACTTACTGCGAGGACAATCTGGAGGGAACTATGAGCCACTTCTATGTACTGGTACTCCAGCAAACACCCTGAGACCGTGATGTAGCGATGGTCTTCTGGGGCCCAGTCTGGGGCAGGTGTCACTGACGTCACCGTACATCCTGGTCCATTCTCCATCCACCAAGATCGGTGCATTGATATATTAAAAGTCAGGATAAGGTCTGTTTCCTGCAAGAAGGCAATTTACAAGGATGAGAATTACTTTATAAATGTTAGTCAGCTTACTTGGGACTGACTTGCTTTGACTTTCCCATTTGGAAATGTGGGTTTGTTTGTTTTTTTTTTCCTACCCCATGCTGTATTTTACAGGAAGCGAGGACACAGCTAAATTAATTATGCATCTATGGATTCATCCTACTTATGAAGGTTTTTCCTGACTATAATAATATAGATCAAATTATTTTATTGGAGAAATTCCTAGTGATTTATATTACTAATGATTTATATTCATTGTAACACTGAAGAGTCTTTACCTTTCAAGGGTCTTTCCCATTACAAAGGGAAGGATTTAAACTTTTATCAAGTGAAGTTCATGCTATTCTAAATCTGCTTTATTTTTTTCTCTCAAAATGTTTACTTTTCACACATTTTAAATCTTAAAGCTATACTTCAATTCTGCAACATTTAACATAATATTGTGGCTAATGCTTGAATTTGTAAGACCCTTACTTAAGAAAACATAATATTACTTGCTTCCCCCTCTTCCTGTTATTTGGGCAAATCAGTGTCTCTTCAATCTTATCACTTTTTGTGAAATTGGTCATAATGTTTCTTAAGAATTAAGAAGTAAATATTTTTTAGGAAATATTATTATCAAATTCTTGTAGGGTGGAGATAATAAATCAACTATTTAGATGAAGTTCACCATGTTAGGTGATACCCAGCTGTAAATGGAATAAAAGTAGAATTTTGCACTCAGAGAGCTTGCAATCACCTATGCCAACTTGGAGCTATCAATGGCACATGGGCAAATGTTGTCTTCCAGGGAAAGAACGGCTAAAGGAAATGCATCAAAAGCATTTTATTATTCAGCAAGTCATGAAGGAAGATAAGTTCTAAGAAAAAAAGGTCAGTTATGGGAAATTGCACTCTATCAGTTTCAGTGATAGTTATGGCCACAAGATAATAGGTGCCAACTACTCACTCCAAAGTGAGGTTCTGATGGACTAGGCAGACCCTGTACAGATAACGTCTTAAGTCATCGTTTGTGACGTGGAGCCACACACTCACATTGAACATATGGAAAGGTTGAGTTGAAATGGCCAGGGAATTTGGAGATTGCAAGTAGAACTTCTTTGGAAAAAGGTGTGCTATGAATGTCATCATCTCCATGGTGGTGGTTGGGTGGGGTAGGGGTGATCTCTTTTTTTTGCAAGCCTGTTGAGAAAAGCTTCAAAGTATCTTTGGAACCTAGGAAACACAGCAGCTAGTGTCTGACTCAGGCCTGATAAATCTCAAAATAGAGTCTGTGGCTAGAGCTACCTGAGAAGTGGTCAAACAAAAATTAGGCAGTATGAGAAAGGAAAGTGCACTGCTACATATCATGGATCTAAAGTAATGATCCTTGGTAGCAGATGTGGGCTGTCATGAGAGAGAGCTAACGTGGGTTTTCTTCCAAGGATTTCTAAGAAGACTGGTGGGTAGGGGGGTGATGGCTGAATCTTTACCATCACCTATTCTTAGGGCATGAGGGAGGGAGTGTTAAAATATAGTAAGTATGGAAGAGACACCAACTAAATCATGTACCTACAGATGAGATATTTAATGCAATGCAGGGTCTCTGAAAACCCCAGAAAAGTGTCTCGAGACACTTTTCAATCTCATTAGCCACCAAATTCTGTTAGCCTAGATATCTCTCCTGCTCCCTTATCTCCTCTCCATTGCTATACTCCAAGCATGGTGGGGTCTGAGATCTCAGATAATAGTTGTGAGATAGGGATGGGGTTAGTTAGTAAAGATCGAAGTGAAACACAAAGCATACAACTTTCCCTACAGGAAGGAAGAAGTTTAATTTTGAATACAATTTGGATTTTTTATTATAATGTCAGACATTAATTTCTGAACACAGACTTCTTTGGAAACTATAGTGACTTTGGATAACTTGTTATTATCTGGAAGTAACCACAAAAGTAGGAGATCTGCTATTTATTTTATCCAATGGTAGCAGAAGAATCAGGTCCATGGGGAGCCCTGTGGGGGAAATCATGAGAAAGGAATGTTTTTTATGTTATTTTTCTCAAAATCATGATCATTTAATGTTTGGTTACCAAAGCAAACTGGATAAATCCCCAGGGCCTAAGAGAAAAGAGAAAACCATTCAAAAGGGCAACCAACAAGAGACTAAGCCATGAGGGCAGCCAGGCTTGGACAGCCCAGCAAGAACACAATCCAGTTCCCTAATCCCTGGTGATATCTAATATCCATAGCTCAAGGTCTCGGTAAACCTCCCTCTCTCACAGGAAGTCAAGACCAACCACAAGTTTCCATTTGAAACAATGGTAAGGAGGATTTTCTGAGACTTAGAACTTGGTTATTTGCATTATTGCTTCTCATTGGTTGAAGCAAAATTTATCATACAAAGCAAGATGATTCAATAATCAACTCAACTATGTATGAGTTTATTAGGGGTAATCATAATTGCAAACAGGGACCAGAGCCCAAAGCAGTGACAGTGAAAACATGCTTGTGAGCTGTTAGACACAGAAGTGGTTCAGATAGGTAACTATCCCATTATGCCCGGGACTGTCATGAATTTTGCAATGAAAGTCCCTTGTCCTTGGAAGCCCCTTAGTCCCAAGCACACCAGGACAGTTAGTCACCATAGCTGCAGAGACAAGTTTTTAAAAAGCATTGATGTTAGTTGAGTTTGTTGGCCACTAGAGCTATGGTAATCAGAAGTGATCATTTATTTACTAATTATTTATATCCTAACTACTGCCAAAAAAAAGAGTCTTGTCATAATAAAGCAAACATATACCATTAAAACAAGGGTAAAAAATAAGAACCAAAAAAATGGAGATGATAGCTAGTGAGCCAGGAAACCAAGACATGAGTAAGTGCCTCACTTGGATACTCAATTCAGAACTGACTTGTTGGTAATAATGGAGACACAATGGGAACACAGCTATCATCATCTAAAAGAATGAAGAATACCATGGCCCCAAGAAAGACAATCTCTTCTTTCCTAATACTAATTTCTTAAGAGGAATTAACAATTATATAAATATTTCATATAAAATATTTATAATATATTGGATGGTATCGTTAATTGATTTTTCTTCCATAATTTCAAGAATACTGGCAGCGAATTATGCTGGATTTAACAGACATCTGAGCCATCTTTAGCTCCTCTTTCTAATACAGTAACTATATTAGTTTGCTAGGGCTGCCATAACAAAGTACCACAAATAGGGTGGCTTAAGAAGAAACTTATTTTCTCACAGTTCTAGAGGCCAAAATTCTAAGATCCTGGTGTAAGTAAGGTTCTTTCAAGGGGCTTTCTGTGAAGAAGGATCCATTGCATGCCTCTGATGGTGTGCTGGTAATATTTGGCATTCTGTGGCTTGTAGAACCATCACCCTAATCTCTGCCTTCATTCCACATAGCAACTTCCCCGGGTGCCAAGCTGTATCCAAATTTCTGTTTTTAAAATATAAGGCCTCCAGTTGTATTGGCCTAGAGCCCACTCTAATGACCTCATTAAGTAGTCACATCTGAAATGATCCTTTTTCCACATGAAGTCACATTCTGAGGTACTGGGGGTTAGGCCATAAACATAAGTTTAGGGGAGCAGGCATAATCCAAATGGTAACACCAAACTCTAATTTCTCTCTCTCTTTTTTATTTTATTTTTCATTTCTCCAGAGGGTCAGTTCTAAGTTTTCTCTTTTGTTAAATTTATTTACTTTTTTGGTATTTTCTCTTTTAACTTACGTTTGAGATTTCTAAAGGTCATTTGAACCTATTGTCTGGATGACAAGTAAAATATTTTATTACTTCATACATTTATTTATATGCTTTCTATATTATTTATTACTTAGAAAATCAATTAACTACATATATTTTAAATAATTACATTTACCATAAAGCTGTAGCCAAAAATAGCATTTCTTGTCCACGGTTCTTTCCATTTCATAGTACCCTATTGAAAGGCAACCACTTTCATTTTTTATAACTGTTTCTTTAAGTATTTACTTTTGTTTTGTAAATATCATGCTCATGTTGACATTATTCATTTATCATTTAAGTATTATCTCCTATTTCTAGTATGAAATGTGTGAAGTAACATTTTTAGAAATATTCCCTTTCTATTCCTCACCATTCTGTATAATTTTCTCTAAAATTTGGTTGTATGAATATTACAAAATTTGCATTTCCCTGATGACATACGATGTTGAGACTATTTTCATATACTTATTTGCCATCTGTTTATCTTCTACAGTGAGATGTCTGCTAAGATCTTTGGCTCATTTTTAAATTGGGTTGTTTGCTTTTCATCATTGAGTTTTAAGAGTTCTTTGCCTATTTCAGACTCAAAAAGATAAAAATTATATTGTTAAAATATAGATTAAAATACCATACCTGGTAGTCTTTTATCATATATGTCTTTTGCAATATTTTCTACCAGTCTATGGCTTGTCTTTTCATTCTTTTGATAATACTTTCAGAAAGAAGTTTTTAAATTTTAACTAAGGACAGCTTGTTAATGCTTTTTTTCATGGATCATGCCTTTGGTGTCATATTTTAAAAGTCATTGCCAAATCCAAGTTCATCTAGATTTTCTCCTGTGTCATTTTCTAGGAGTTTTACAGTTTTGCATTTTACATTTAGGTCTTTGACCCATTTTGAGTTAATTTTTGTCAAGGACACAAGGTTTGTGTCTAGATTTTTTTTTTTTTTTTTTTTTTTTGCATGTGGATGTGCAATTATTCCAGCACCATTTATTGAAAGGACTGTCTTCCCCTTTGCATTGCCTTTCCTCTCTTGCAAAAAACAGTTGACTATATTTGTGTGGGTGGACTTCTAGGTTCTCTATTCTGTTCCATTGATCTATTTGTCTCTTCTTTTGCCAATACCACACTGTTTTAATTACTGTAACTTTATATTAACTCTTGAGGTTAGGTGTTATTGGTCCTCAAATTTTATCGTTTTCCTTCAATATAGTTTCGTCTATTCTGGATCTTTCACCTCTCTCTATATACTTTAGAATCAGTTTGCCAACATCCATAAAATTACTTGCTGGATTGTGATGAATCTATCGATCAAGCTGGGATTAACTGAAATCTTGAAAATCTTGAGTCTTTCTATCCATAAACATTGAATTTCACACGATTATTTATTTGATTCCTTTTAAAAGAAGTTTGCAATTTTCCTCATATAGATCTTGTACATATTTTGCTAGATTTTGCTGTAGTTTGAATGTATCCCCCAAAATTGTGTGTAGGAAACATCCCCCAAAGCAATAGTGTTGGGAAGTGAAGCCTAATGAGACATGATTAGGTCATGAGGACTCCAGGCTCACCAATGGACTAATGCTGCTATGACTGGAGTGTGTGGGGCTTCATTATCATGCAAGTGGGTTTGTTATAAAAGGGTGAGACTGGCCTTTTTTTCACTTCCTCTCTTGCACTCTCTGTGCCCTTCTACCTGGTGATGCCTTCTGCCATATTATAACACAACAAGAAGGACTTTGATGGATGCCGGCCCCTTGATTTTAGAGTGCCCAGCCTCCAGAATTGTGAGAAAATAAATTCTTGTTTATTGTAAATTACCCAGTCTGGGGTGTTTTGTCATAGTAGCCCAAAACAAACTAAGATAGAAAACTGGTACCAGAGGAATTGAGTGGTACTATAACGAATACCCGAAAATGTGGAAACGATTGAGAGCTAGGTAATGAGTAGAGGCTGAAACAGTTTTGAAATGAATGCTAGAAAAAGCTTGTATTGCTATAAATGGAGGATTACAGACGATTCTGGTGAAAACTCAGAAGAAGGAGAGCTACAGGGAAAGTCTGAAACTTCATATAGATTACTTAAGTGGTTATGATAGGAATGCTGGTAGAAATATGGGCAGTAGAGGCCATTCTGATGAGGTCTCAGATGGAGATGGGAAACATCTTTTTGGAAACTGGAGTAAAGGCCATCCTTGATATAAAGTGGCAGAGAACTTTGCTGAATTGTATCCATGCCCCAGGGCTTTATGGAAGATGGAATTTAAGAGTGATGATCCAGGATATCTGGCAGAAGAAATTTCTAAGCAAAATATTACAGGAGTTGTGTGGCTTCTTTTAACTTCATACAGTAAAATCCAAGAAGAAATAAATTATTTAAAGACAAAACTAGATTTAAATAAAATGATTTAAAGGGAAACACACTTAGGGATTTAAAGGAGTTTCAGCCTTGACCATATGGTACAGAATAAAAGACCTTTTTTAGGAAAGAAATCCAAGGGTATGGCCAAGTACACATTTGATAAGGAGATCAGTATGGCTAGAAGAAAGACAGGTGTTATTCATCAAGATAATGGAAAATGATTCTGAAGGCATTTCTGTGATCTTTGAGACTTTCCCTCTTATCATAGACCCAGAGCTGTAGGAGGGCAGAATGATTTTGGGAGACAGGTCTAGGATGCCCTCCACAAGCTCCTTGACTAGGGCCACTTTGGGCCTCTGTTCCCTGTGTTTATAACTCTGTTCCCCACATTCAAGAAGCTTGTCTCCTTGTCTCCCACAGCTGTGGCTTAAGCAGCCTCAAGTACAGCTCGGGCCACTGTTCCTGAGGGCTCAAGCAGTAAGCCTTGAGGCATTTATGTGGTGCTGACTCTGCAGACGTGCCAAGTTCATGAGCTATGGAGTTATGGCAGCATCCACTAATCAAAGAATACATTAGGCAGCCTGGGGCCCAGGCAGAAACCTGCTTCGGGGCAGAGTCACTAAGCAATGATTAGTGGAATACAGGTAGTGAGGCTACTGCAGAGAGTCCTCCCTAGGGCAAGGTCTGATGGAGCCACAGTAGTGGGGCCATCCCCAAGACCTCAGAACTGCAGAGCTACCAGTCTGCAACAACCACCCGGAGAGCTGTAGTCATGACACCCTATCCTGTGAGAGCTGCTATACAGGCTGAGCCCAGCAAAGCAATAGAGGTGGGGCTGCCTAAAGCCTTGGCGGCTTAACTCCTACCTCAGTGTACTAAAAAGATGGGACATAGGGTCAAAACAGAGATTATTCTCCAGCTTTAAGATTTAATGTTGTTTGCCCTATTGGGTTTTGGACTTTATTGAGACAAGTCACCCCTCTTTTCTTACCTATTTCGCCCTTTTGGAATGGGAATGTCTACCTTATGTCTGTCCCACCATTGTATTTTGGAAATAGATAACTTGTTTTGATTTCATAGGCTCAAGCTAGAGGGAATTTGCCTCAGGAAGAATTGTGCTTTGAGTCTCATCCATATCTGATTTAGATGAATCTCTTGACTTTGGACTTTTGAGTTGGTGCTAGAACAAGTTAAGACATTGGTGTTATTGAAATCAAATGAATATATTTTGCATGTGAGGTGAACATAGATTCTGGCGGACCAGAAGTGCTATGGTTTGAGTATGTCACCCCAAAAGCATGTGAATTTAATACCCAGTGCAACAGTGTTGGGAGGTGGGGCATAACAAGAGGTGATTAGGCCATGCGTTGCTCCACTGTCATGAATGAGCTAATGTTGCCACCATGGGAGTGGGTTTGCTACAGAAGGGTGAGTTTGGCCTTCTTTTTGTTCTCTTTCCCCTCATATATCTCCCTGTCTTTTTGCCTTTCTGCCATATGATACCTTTTGCCATATTATGATGCAGCCTAAATGCACAATTATAAATTATAAAATTATATATTACTTAGTCTGTAGTATTTTGTTACAGCAGCACAAAATAGTTGAAGACAAATTGATACCTATATATTTCCTTTTGTGTGTGTGTGGTAATATAAATGGTATTGTATTTTAAATTTCAAATTCTGTTTACTGGTAGTACAAAGGAAACCAATTGGCTTTTGCATATTAACCTTGTACCCTGAAACTTTGCTGTAACTGCTTACTAGCTACAGGAGTATTTTGGGGGCCAATACCTGCAGATTTTCTACACAGACAATCATTTTATCTGTGAGCAAAAATAGTTTTATCTCTTCCTTCCTAATCTGTGTAACTTTATTTCCTTCTCTTGTCTTGTGTTAGCTACAACTTCCAGTAAAATATTAAGAGGTGTAGTGAGAGGGAATAACCCTGCTTTGTTCCTGATCTTAGTAGAAAAGCTTCTAGTTCTCACTGTTAGGATGTTAGCTATAGATTTTTTTATAGGTACTCTTTATCCAGTGGAGGAAGTTTCTCTGTCTTAGTTTACTGAGAGTTTTTTTGTTTGTTTTTATCATGAATGGATGCTGGATTTTGCCAAATGCTTTTTATACATCTACTGATGTGAGGTACATCTATTGATACGATGTACATCTATAGATATTGTAATTTTTCTTCTTTAGTTTGTGGATGTGATGTATTACATGAATTTTGAACCAGCTTTGCATACCTGGGACAAATCACAGTTTGTTGTGGTGTATAATTTTTTTTATACATTCTCTGATTCAATTTGCTATACTGACTGTTATATGTTGAAAGTCTTTGCATCTGTGTTCATGAGGGATATTGGACTACAGTTTTCTTTTTTTGTGCTGCCTTTGTCTGGTTTTGGTATTACGGTGATGCTAGCATCATAGACTGTGTTACGAAGTTAGTGTCTCTGCTTCTATCTTCTGAAAAAGATGGTAGAGAATTGGTATAATGTCTTCTTTACGTGTTTGGTAGAATCCACCAGTGAACCTATCTAGGTCTGGTGCTTTCTGCTTTAAAAAGTTAATAATTGCTGATTCAATTTTTTAATAGATAAAAGCCTATTCAATTTGTCTATTTCTACAAGTTTTTTTAGACTGCATCTTTCAAAAATTGTTCCATTTTATCTTTGTTGTTAAATTTGTAGATATAGAATTGTTAACAATATACCATTATTATCCTTTCTTGTCCAGATATCTGTAGTTATATTCCTGCTTTCATTGATAATATTAGTAATTCTTAACTTCCCTCTTTTGTTCTTAGCCTAAAGGCCTAATGATTTATTAATCATTTCAAATAAGCAGTTTATAGTTTTGTTGGTTTTCACTACTGATTTCTTATTTTTAATTTTATTGATTTATTTTCTAATTTGTAGTAGGTCTTTCCTTCTGCTTAGTTTGGATTTCCTTTGCTCTTTTTTTTCCTAGAGTGATAAATTGGAAGGTTAGCTTATTGATTTTAGATTGTTTTAATATGCATTCAATGCTATAAATTTCCCTCAAAGCAGTGCTTTCACTACATTCTACAAAATTTAAAAAGTGATATTTTAATTTCCATTTAGTTCAAAATATTTTACAATTTGTCTTGAGATTTATTCTTGACCCATGTGCTATTTAGAATGTGTTGTTTAATCTCCATGTATTTTGGGATTTTCCAGCTATCTTTGTTTTTTTGATTTCTTCACATTTTTTGGGTAGATTTTCATCATCTCTTTGTGGCATATCTACCACTAATTATTTTCAAATTGACCAATAGAACTGTAAGGACTCATTCAATATTCATTTCTACATGGTCCAATACTTCAGGATCATTTAATGCCTTTTTTGTTTGTTCTTTTTCAGGTGAACTATGACTTGGAATCCTCCAGGCTTTGGCTTCCATCACACTCCATGAACTTGATGCACATAATTTAATGTAGGCCTCCACCCAATATCATCAGTTCTCTTGCATGTTGAACCCCCAGTTTCCTGGATCTGACCAACATGACCTTAATGTTCCTATCAGCTCGACTAAACTTTAAAGAGATTTCTTCCTCAATATGGGCCTCTAACTTCCCTTTTCTTAGAGCATTTACTTTAGAAATTTTGCAATTATCAATTTTTTCTCCCTATTTTTGAGATGTAAATTTTCTACAACTCAGGAATGTCTTTCTCAAGGACATGAGAGATATCCCTTTGAAATGTAATTGTGAAAAATGATAGCACCTCTATTTCAATCTGTGTAGGAGAGTAGGAGCCTAACTCAGGTAAGTGACATTTAGCAAACTCAGATGGCCTAAACACATTCACCAACTTCCCCACTAATGTACTCCCTACTGGTTCATGTCAGCATTTAATAATCCTTCTGCTTTCTTTTCAGTGGAGCTGAGTTCAGTCTGTCTCTCTTCTGCAGTGGTCTTCTCTCCCATTGCAATGGTCTTGAGTAAAGTGTTCTTTGTTTGTTTTACTTGGAGATGATGTCAGTTCAATATTGAAGTCTCTCTTCCCTACTACAGTAGTTCAAATAAAATCCATCTTGCCATTCTTAACAAGTATTGGTATAATTTCTCTTTAACATTTCTCGTGTCTTTCTCTTAATTGGTTTCTTCTCTTGTTTTACAGAGCATGTTAGTCACTAGTTTCTTAAGTCTGATGAATGTGCTTTCATTACATTTTTATATTAATTGACTGATATTTTGGATGGACACATTTATACTGCTTGGTTAAATACGATTTTCTCTCAGAATCATGTGGAAATTTCTCCGTTATTTTCTAGTTTCTGTTTTTGCAGTTGAGAAGTCCAATATCATTTTGCTTCCCTACATTTTTAAAAAATGTAACCTGTTTCCATTCTTTCTTTCTTTTGGTATTTTGCATCTGTTTTTAAAAAAGCAATGATATAGTTCCAAAACCATTGAAGAGTATAAAGGATATTATAATAACGTCATTATACCCACCACCCAGTTTCATTAATCCTTAGGCTATATTTGCTTGAAGTCTTTTTTTTTTTTTTTTTTTTTTTTGACAGAGTCTCGCTCTGTCGCCCAGGCTGGAGTGCAGTGGCACAATCTTGGCTTACTAGACCCTCCACCTCCTGGGTTCAAGTGAGCACGTCTGGCTAATTTTTCTATTTTTAGTAGAGACAGGGTTTCATTATGTTGGCCAGTCTGGTCTTGAACTCCTGACCTCAAGTGGTCTGCCTGCCTCAGCCTTCCAAAGTGCTAGGATTACAGGTGTAAGCCACCACACCCAGACTGAAGTCATTTTTAATAGAATATTTTATACAATATAAATGATGCCTTCTCTGTACTTCTCCTAAATATTACTTTCTTCACTTCTTCTTCAGGGATAATTACTATCATGATTTTAGAATTAGTGTTCACGTGACTTTTTTTTTACAGTTTTCCTAAATATTTACATATCCATACCCATTAATAATATAAAATACTAGGGGTATTTTTTAGGTTTTAAGACATATATATATACTCTACACCTTATTTTGGTTTCCTTTAATATATTTGAGGTTTCTTGCTTTTTTTGTTTTGTTTTTGTTTTTGTTTTTGTTTTTTGAGACGGAGTCTTCCTCTGTCACCCAGACTGGAGTGCAGTGGCATGATCTCAGCTCACTACAACCTCCGCCTCCCAACTTCAAGCAATTCTTCTGCCTCAGCCTCCTGAGTATCATGGTTTACAGGCATGCACCACCACACCTGGCTAATTTTTGTATTTTTAGTAGAGATGAGGTTTCACCATGTTAGCCAGGCTGGTCTCAAACTCCTGGCCTCAAGTGATCTACTCGCCTCGGCTTCCCAAACTGCTGGGATTACAGGTGTGAGCCACTGCACCTAGCCTGAGGTTCCTTTATGTAGGAAATACATTCAGCTCCCAGTTCTGAAATTCTCTAAAGGAAGTAACTGGGTGTTTTTGTTGTTGTTGTTGCTGTTTTTCATTTAGCTTGTAGAGCATCTTTGGGCCTTTCAATATATGGGCCCTTTAATTATAGTCTAGACAATATTATTGCATTATATCCTTAATTTTTTCCTCCCTTCCACTCTTTCTATTACTACAGGAAATTCTGTTAGTCAGACAGTTGACTTCCAGGACTGATCTCTCACCTTCTTATCTTTTCTTTCCCACTGTTCATATTTCTCATTTCTCTTTACTCTCTGAGATTTTCTTTACCAAGTCTTGCGAGTCTAATAGTGAACTATTTTAAAATTTTTAACGTTTTGAACTTCCAAGAGCTAATTATTCTCTAATTGTTCTTTTTATATAGCTCTTATTTTAATTGTGTCTTGGCTATAAGTTTTCTTAGTTCTCTGAATTATCAGAGTTTTAAAATTATATTTTCTACATTGCTTTTGCTTTATTCAAGTTACTCATCTTCACTAAATAAATAAGTAAATATTAAAAACAATTATTGTCTATAAACAATATTCCTTCCCCTTATGAATGTTTATTTTGTAATGGAGGAGATGGACAACAAATATATAAATATACCAAAATATCTGTGCAGTGATTAATATAATAAGGAAAATAAATTCAAGTAAATAAATAGAATGACCAAGAACTGGGTGAGGGTGAGGCAGTGGGTAACACTATTCTAGATGTAATGGTAAGAAAAGATATCTCAGTATCTTACATTTGAACAGCAGCCAGTGAATGAAGTGAAGGAGTGAACAGAGCAAAGATGAGAAAGAGAATTCCCAACACTGGGAACAGCCAGTGAGGATGACTTAAAGATTTTCTATTATGTTTATTCTTATCTTTAACTTTCATGTTGGAGCCTTCCTTAAAAGTCTGGTGATCCCTGGTTGTCTTTTCATATTAAATAGGAGGAGCTAAAACTTGATTGGTGCTTTGTTATACATTAGTGTGCTGGTCATTTGTTGTCTCTCACATAAGATGATGGGGCAGTGCCTTCCAAATGCTCTATGTATAGGAGTCTGTAGGATTTTGCTTTGGGTCTGCAAGTCTTCTTATTATTAGGCACCAAACCACAGCATTTTGGGGCTGAACTGGGAAGGAGCTGGTGGTCTTGCTGCATAGTATGCAGTTTTTAATTTTTCAGTATGCAAATTTTAATTTAATCTTCTGTTTAGAAACTGCTGATGCTGACCTGTGCCTCAAGAGGCTTGCCTGTTTGGGGGAGAAGCCTGATGTGGAGACCATTGGAAGAGGCTAAGGCAAGCTACCTGTTCCTTAAACAGATTGTTCAACCTATTCCAGTTTTTGGTCCTCTACCTCACACATTCCTTCCACTTCCAAATCCTGTTGTTAGAGGATGTTACCTGCCAAATTTGTACTTTGGAATCCTCCTCTGCATGTTCATAAGTTTTTGGGTTTTCCTTTCTGCTCACTTGCCAATCCTCTATCTACTTTCAATCTTCTAAAAATTGCTGAAACTTCTTGTCTCACTGTTAATTCTTTAACATCAATTTGTTGGTATTTTAGGATAAAATATAAGTAAGTGTATATCTTCAACCAGCTATCATTAAATGGAAAATTTCTGGTATTATTTTATACTTTCATCTATTTTCCTGTAGACATTTAAACAAGAAGTCTCTGTGTGTATGTGCACATATTCAATGTTTTAACTACAAAATATAAATTTCTTCTTGTAAAACAGACAACATAAGGGTTTTCTTGAAGTCCCCTTTTAAATATAACAGGAATTCCTCAGTGTGATCTGTGCCATGTATATCAGCAGGTTATTTAATTCCTGTATGCTTTGTAATTTTCAGCTCAAAATTATGACTTTTGACACAAACCACAAGTCTCAATGTCACAAAATAAGGTAGAAAACCACAAACAAGCTGGGCATGGTGGCTCATGCCATATAATCCCAGCACTTTGGGGGGGCCGAGGCAGGCGGATCACAAGGTCAGGAGATCAAGACCATCCTGGCTAACATGGTGAAACCCCGTCTCTACTAAATATACAAAAAGTTAGCTGGGCGTGGTGCCACATGCCTGTAGTCCCAGCTACTCCGAAGGCTGAGGCAGGAGAATCGCTTGAACCCGGGAGGCGGAGGTTTCAGTAAGCCGAAATCGTGCCACTACCCTCCAGCCTGGGCAAAAGAGCGAGACTATGTCTCAAAAAAAAAAAAAAGAAAAGAAAAGCACAAACAAAATCTTTTACACTCTGGATGCATTCGGGATGTATTCATAGGAAAAACATGAAAAAGGGACTCAGAATTGTTAACATGATAAAACTTTTAAATCTAAAGAAAACTTTCATAATTATATGTTCTCATCAGCATAGTGATAAAAAATCTTGGTGTTAATTTATTTATTCATCTCTCCTAGTAAATCTTCAGAAAGTTCAGATTAAAGGACCCCATTTTTAGTCATGTCATTTCTTCAAAATAACAAGGTCTGATGATGTGTTACATGAAAGCTGTTATTAGCACTAAAATTTGTTTCTGACAGGGCCTGTATGTATTCAGGTCAATGTAAGAAGCCTAATTGCTCAACAAATAATAAGCATTTGATTAAAAAAAGAATTGATAAGTAAATGAGAAAATGATACTAATGACATTTCAGAATTTCAATAAAGAGCTAAAATTTACTTTTCCAGCTTATGGTATTTGAAGAGCAAAGCACACATGCATATAACTGTTATGATAGTAAGTAATGGGGGCTAGATTACAGAGATTTGAAGATGGAGTGTGAGAGTTGCAATTTAAAAATATGAAATATTTTCTTAGATTTCTGGAGTTTTCTATTACCTTCTTCTTTTAGAATAATATTAAAAATGGATAACTTCTCATTTCTAGGCAGTGTGGTTACTAAAAGGCTAGAAATGCACTCCTTATGAAATGGCAATAAGCCTAGAGTTATCAAGTTAGTTACACAAATATTAATAATTCCTATACCATATGTAAATCACCTTACCAGGCCATAATGATGTGATGTGAATCTATATAAGATAGTAAGATAGCATATATGACATCATGGGGCTATTGTCTCTTTTGGGAAACTAGGTATAAAAATAAAATATACCGATATAAGAAAGTATTTGATAAGTACTTAATAAGTGATGTGGACAATCTATGTCCAAGAATTCAAATGGTATGGTGCCTGGGAACTCTAGCTGGAACCTGAAAGAGCCAGGCTTAGATAGACCCACAGCCAGGGGAAAAAAGACAATTTTAAGTAAAGTGAAACAATAATCAAAACTATAGATATACAACTTGTATTTCTAAGTAGCAATATGTAGCCTTATACTTATGAGATGGGATTTTGTTAGTAGTAGTATAGAATAGCATTGGAAAGATAAACTGCGGCTAGATTGAAGAGGGACCTAAGTGCCAGATCAATAAATCCTGCTTATTGAAAGGTTTTTGATCAGTAAGAGACCACAAGCACCATTAAATATAAGCCAAGAGTTATTACAATAAAACTAATCCTTCTCTTGTAGGATTGGGTGGGCTGTGCAGGAGATATGTGGTGCAACCAGTACAGGTGCTGTATTTAATAGTAGTCATGAGGAAGTTGGTAACACAGATGCCATTATTATAAATTCTGAGTGCTTGACCTTAATTATACCCAGACTACTCTCCTGAGTTCTACAAGGATACAGAGAAGCAGAAACTATGACCAGGAGCAGTGCTTTTAATATTTTCAGAGTTAAGAATGGGACCAAGTCAGCATTCTCCTTACCTTAAAACATATTTATGTTGATGACATTAGAGGAATGCCAAGCAAGTACATTTAAGGGAAAAAAGCAAATTTTAACAAACAAAACATACCCTGGGAAGTATCAATATTTACATTAACAAAACTATATGCATTTCATCTTTACAACTGAGAGAAATAGGAAAATCCATGATGAATAACATCCTGTAATTAGCAAAGGATGCAGGAGATGGAATAGTGGGGGAGGCTGTATTTGACATGAAGAATCACGTATTTTCATGAACTCTTATTTATTTACAATCAACATATACTGGATTAAATTTTAAGTTATCATCAGAAAGCACTGTTCTGTATTGCACTGCCAATATCTACATGTGGACACTCACTCATAGAAAACCCTGAAAAATTCTTTAAAATTGTTATTAGTCATGGCTTGTTTTCTGCTGGTGAATTTATCATTCTAAGTATAGCATTTTTCTGGTAATACTTGTATAGATCTATGCAAATCCACTTCTACATATAAAACCCCCAATGCTAAAGTTATCCTGGTAGCATATGAAAAGCAGTGAAAGCAAATTATATTGTTCAAGATGCGAGGAAGAACAGCTGAGAAAGTATGGTTTTGAGAAGATAACCAAAATTACAAATATGTTTATTTAACAGGTTGAATGAAAGCTGCCTTTATAGAAATGCAGCCCAGAACACAAAAAATTTATATCTACCCACTAAAAAATTCAAAGGTGTGATTCATTCCACTATATTATGAAGGGCGATCAGATATATACTCCTGTTCCTACTTTGTTAGAGTCTTCAACTATGGGTAACTTTGGGATCTGGTTGATTATATATCATAATTCAATATGACACCATAGCTAGGGTTAACTCCAGCTCTTGGTTCCTGACATTAGTTATTCAGGAAAGAGTTTATAAAATATTTCTGTGAGCATGGAAAACATTACAACCATTGCTCTAAAAACATATAAGTAAAGGCCAGTGGTATTTGTCTTTCTAAAAGCTAATCTTTTGGCTGGGTGCAGTGGCTCACACCTGTAAATCCAGCACTTTGGGAGGCTAAGGCAGGTGGATCACCTTGGGAGTTTGAGACCAGCCTGGCCACAGTGGTGAAATCCCATCTCTACTAAAAATACAAAATAAAATAAATAAGGCTGGCATGGTGGTGCACACCTGTAGTCCCAGCTACTCATGAGGCTGAAGCAGGAGAATCGCTTTAGCCCAGGAGGCGGAGGTTGCAGGGAGCTGAGATCTTGCCACTGCACTCCAGCCTGGGCAACAGAGCAAGACACTGTCTCAAAAAAAAAAAAAAAAAAAAAAAAAAAAAAAAAAAAAAAGCTAGTGTTTTAACAACAAAATGTATTTCTTCTGATTATGTGGAAAGATTCACTAAAGATATAATGTAAAATATTTAAAGTTCATTGCTATTATATGTTTTAATTATTTCTTGCCTGAAAACAGGTTTCTCATGTCCATGTACCAACAAAGGCCATTATTTCTTTTTTCCAAGTCTTATCGCGACTGCCTTCTTGGTCCAGATAAATGTTTTATGTTGTCTGTCATTGGTCTATTCTTTTTGCATTCTGAGTATTGCTACAAATATTGCATTTTTATGAAAGCCTCCTTATAACTTCCTATTAACATTCTGCGTATCTCTCTTCGTTTGAATTAATACTTTGAGTTACCCCTTCTCAACAGCTTTTCCTGATTAATTCCATTCCTTTTCAAACCTCACAGTGTTAGACCTGGTACCTCTTTATATGTACGAATAGCAACATTGTCTTAGTCAGTTGCTTTTTTCTTAAGGGTACAGGAACATGTTAAACCCGATATGTTCACAGTTCCTTCTCAAGAAGTGCATATCAACTCTCAACTGCAGAAGAAAGTTTGCTGCTAGAATACAAAGAATTTTGTTTTAAGGTGATCCTTGTAATTCACTGAAAGGTAAAAAAGGAAAACAAGGAAGAAAGATGGAAGGAAAGAAGAAAGGAAGGATGAGAGGGAAGGAGGGAAGGATGGAAATGAAAAGAAAAAATAGGAAACGGGAAAAAATTCAATAAGCAAATCTCCATGCTATGTTAAAGTTCATCGAACTTCCAGGCTCAAAATCTCAATTTTATTTTCCACCTCTAAAGTTAGAACTCATCAGCTATGAGTGGGATCTAAGTTTGGCAAAATGAGTCTTCTCTCTTTCACGCCTTTACTAGCAGATGCTAGAGGCAGAATTTTCTCAGCTGGTTACGATAATGAAAGATCAACTTCTCACTGACTTTATAGTTTCCAATGTACTGAATCCTTTTTTGGCAGAGCTTTTCCTGCTGTTTTCTCACTTTCCTGTTTGTTCCCTCCCCACAGGTATCTTTTCCCATATTGTGAGTGTTCCTTTCCCTAAGAGCTTTGAAAAGTTAGCTGCATTCACTCTAGAGGCTCAGTTTTCAATGAACAGGTTAAGTATTTCCAGAGATATTACTGCCATTTAAGAACTCACCTGAGGCCACAATTTTACTAATTTTAAAAGCATATTTATGTGAATTTTTAATTAGCATGAAGGCACAGACATGCTGAAGATATTGAAGGCTTAGAGACATTTAAGAAACAAGGCAATGTCCTCCTCAATAGTTCCCCACCATTACTGCCAGTCACTATTGTCCCTGAATAGGAAACCCACCCCTGGTACTGTCATTATCATTTTTCGATAGTCAGAAATTATGACTCGTATAGTGTCTGTGCTTGGCTCCAGAAATTAGTTTTGCTTCTATTTTCGGTTGACACGTAGTAATTGTATGTGTTTATAGGATACAGAGTGATATTTTGATTCATGTATCAAATCAGAATCATTAGCATATCCATCACCTCAATATTTATCCTTTGTGTTGGAGACATTCAAAATCCTCTCTTCTAGCTATTTGAAAATATACAATAAATGATTGTTAACTAAAGTCACCCTGCAATGCTATAGAACACTAAAATTTATTCCTCCCAACTAGCTGTAAATTTTAATTCATTAACCAACCTCTCCCTATCCTTCTCTCCCGACTCTTCTCAGTGTCTAATAATTGCAACTCTACTCTCCACTTCTATGAGATCAACTTGTTCAGCTCGCACATACGAGTGAGAACAAGTAGCATTTAACTTTCACTGCAAACTCATCCATGTTTTCATGAATGACAAGGTTTCATTCTTTTTGTACTGAATAGTATTTCGTGGTATATATTATATATACTTTTTTTTTTCTTTACGGAGTCTCACTCTGTTGCCCAGGCTGGAATGCAGTGCCGTGATCTCGGCTTACTGCAACCTCTGCCTCCTGGGTTCAAGCAATTCTCCTGTCTCAGCCTCCTGAGTAGCTGGGACTACAGGCACACGCCACCATGCCTGGCTAATTTTTGTATGTTTAGCAGAGATGGGGTTTCACCATATTGGTCAGACTGGTCTGGAACTCCCACACACGTTGGCCTCCCAAAGTGCTGGGATTTACAGGCATGAGCCATCGCACTCCCAGCCTATATACACCGTATTTTCTTATCTATTAATCTTTTAATAGGCATTTAGGTTGATTCTGTATCTCCACTATTGTGGATAGTACTGAAATAAACATGGGGGTGCAGATATCTCTTTGATATACTAATTTCCTTTCCTTTTGGTAATACCCAGTAGAAGAATTGTTGGTAGTTCTATGGTTAGTTTTTTGAGGAAACTACATGGTTTTTCCACAATGGCTGTACTAATTTACTTCCCACCAATGGTGTATAAGAGTTCCTTTTTCTTTGAATCCTCACCAGCATTTACTTTTTACCTTTTTGATAATAGTCATTCTAACTAGGGGTGTGGTGATATTTCATTGTGGTTTTGATTCACTTTTCCCTGATTATTAGTGGTGCTGATTATTTTTTCATATGCTTATGGGCCAATTGTATATCTTCTTTTAAAAAGTTTCTATTCAGATTCTTTGCTTATCTTTTTTTTTTTTTTTTTTTTTTGACAGAGTCTCACTCTGCCCCCAGGCTGGAGTGCAGTGGTGCAATCTCAGCTCACTGCAACATCCACCTCCCAGGTTCAAGTGATTCTCCTGCCCCAGCCTCCCGAGTAGCTGGGACTACAGGCGTCCACTACCACGTCTGGCTTTTTGTATTTTTATTAGAGATGGGGTTTCACCACGTTAGCCAGGATGGTCTCGATCTCCTGACCTTGTGATCCACCCACCTTGGGCTCTCAAAGTGCTGAGATTACAGGCGTGAGCCACCGCGCCCGGCCCTCTTTGCTTATCTTTTAATTGAATTATATGTTTTTTGCTGTTGTTGTTGTTGTTGCTGAGTCATTTGAGTTCTTTGTACATTTTGGTTATTAATCTCTTGTACGAATAGTTTACAAATATTTTCTCCCATCTACTGGTTATCTCTTCACTCTTTTGGTTGTTTCCTTTGCTGTTCAGAAGGCTTTTAGTCTGACATACTCCCATTTGTCTACTTTTGATATCATTGACTGTGCATTTGAAGTCTTACCCATAAAATATTTGCCTTGACCTATGTCATGAAACATTTTCCCTATGTTTTTCTAATAGTTTTATAGTTTCAGGTGTTACATTTAAGTCTTTCACCCATTTTGAGTTGATTTTTGGATATGGTGAGAGAGAGGGGTCTAGTTTCATTCTTCTGCATACAGTTATCCAGTTTTCCCAGCACTATGTATTGAAGAGCCGATTCTTTCTCCAATGTATGTTCTTGGAACCTTTGGCAAAAATCTGTCAGCTGTGAATACATGGATTTTTTTTCTGGGTTCTCTATTCTGTTCCACTGGTCTATGTGCCAGTTCTTGAACCAATACTATGTTTTGGTTTTGGTTACTATACTGTAGCATATATATTTTTTAAGTTAGATAGTATGATGCCTTCAGTTTGTTTGTTTTCCCCAGAATTGCTTTGAATACTTGAGGTCTTTTGTGGTTCCATACAAGTATTAGAATTGTTTTTGCTGTTTGAAGAATGTCATTGATATTTTGATAGGAATTGGATTGAATTTATAGATTGCTTTGGATATGATGGTCATTTTAGCCATATTAATTCTTCCAATCCATGAGTATGGAATGTCTTTTTATTTTTGGGGGTCCTCTTTAATTTTTTAAATCGGTGTTTTACTGTTTCATTGTAGAGATCTTTCATCTTTTGGCTGAATTTATTTCTAGGTATTTATTTTTGTAGCTATTTTAAATGGATTGTGTTCATAATTTCTTTCTTACCTACTTTGTTCTTGTTGTTTAGAAACACTACTAATTTTTGTATGTTGATTTTATATCTTGTAACTTTAGTAAATTTATTCTAAGAGACATGTGGTGGAATCTTTAGGTTTTTCTAAAGAAAAAATAATGCAAAAATTTATTTTCTAAATAAAAAATAACACAAAAATGTTATTTGCAAAGAGGGACAATTTGACTTCCTTTTTTTCCAATTTGGATGCCCTCTTTTTCTTTCTCTTATCTAATTGCTAGACATTTTAGTACTATATTGAATAAGAGAGGTAAAAATGGGCATTCATATCTTGTTTCAGTTTTTTAGAGGAAAGGCTTTTAGCTTTTCCCAATTAGGTGTGATGTTATTTGTAGTTTTGTCTTATATTGCCTTCATTCTGTCAAGGTATGTTTCTTTTATACCTAATTTGTTGAAAGTTGTTTTATCATTAAGCTATGCTGAATATGATCAGATACTTTTTCTGCACCTACTGAGAGAATCGCGTGGTTCTTGTCCTTACTTCTGTTGATATAATGCATCACATTTATTAATCTACATATGTTGAAATTTCCTAGCATCCCTGAGATAAATCTTACTTGATTATCATCTATTATCTTTTAATGTAATGTTATATTCAGTTTCCTAGTATTTTGTTGAGGACGTTTGCATCCATGTTCACCAGATGCACATAAATGCATAGATGAACATATTTTTGTGTCATTTTCTAGTTTTGGTACCAGGGTAATGCTGGCCTTGTATAATTAGCTAGAAAGAATTCCTTCCTTTTCAGTTTTTGTGAAATAGTTTGATAATTGGTTTTAGTTCTTTAAAAGTTTGGTAGAATTCAGCAGTGAAGCCTGGCTTTACTTTGTTGGGTGACTTTATTATTGATCAATCGTATTACTTTTTATGGGTCTGTTTAGGTTTTCTATTTCTTTCTTGTTCAATTTTGGTAGGTTATATATGTCTAGAACTGTATCTGTTTCCTCTAGGTTTTTCAATTTGTTGGCATAGAGTTTTTCATAATAGTCTGTCTCCTTTGTATTTTTGTGGTATCAGTTGTAATGTCTTCTTTTTCATTTCTAATTTTATTTATTTGGGTCTTCTCCCCTTTTCTCTTAGTCTGCATCATGGATTATTGATTTTGTTTTTCTTCTCAAGAGAGCAACTTTTCATTTTGTTGATCTTTTGTATTTTGTATTTATTTCATTTAGTTCTGTTCTGATCTTCATTTCTTTTCTCCTACTAACCTTGGGTTTAGTTTTCCTTGCTTCCCTGGATGCTCGAGGTACATGGGTTATTTGAAAACTTTCTCTTCTTTTGAGATAGCCATTTATTGCTATAAACTTTCTACTTAGTATTGCGTTTTCTGTAACCCATAGGTTTTTGTATGTTGTGTTTCCATTTTCATTTGTTTCAAGATTTTTTTTTTCTTCATTGACTCATTGGTCATTCAGCAAAATGTTGTTCAGTTTTCATGGACATGTGTGGTTTCCAAAGTTCCTTTTTTTTGTTATTTATTTCTAGTTTTATTCTATTGTGGTCTGAGAAGATACTTGACATGATTTAAATTTTTAAAAATTTGCTGAGACTTGTTTCGTGGCCCAACATATGCTCTATCCTGGAGAATGTTTCATGTCCTGATGAGAAGAATATGTATTCTGTAGTTATTACATGAAATGTCCTGCAAATGTCTATTATGCCTATTTGCTGTATAGTGCAGTTCAAGTCCAATGTTTCTTTGTTGATTTTCTATCGGGATAATCTGTCCAAGGCCAAATGTGGTATTTTGAAGTCTCCAACTATTATTTTATTGGAGTCTACTTCTCTCTTTGGCACTAATAATATTTGCTTTATGTATCTGGGTGCTCCATTGTTGGGTGCATGTCTATTTATAATTGATATGTCCTTTTGCTGAATTGACCCCTTTATTATGATACAATGACCTTCTTTATAATATTTTATGATTTTTACTTACTGTCTATTTTGTCCAAATATAGCAACTCCTGCATGCTTTTGGTTTCCATAGAATGTATTTTTTCCATTTATTCACTTAGAATCTATGTGTGTCTTTACAGTTGAAGTTAGTTTCTTGTAGGCAGCAGATAGTTGAATCTTGTCTATGTCTCTTAATTGGGAAACCTAAACTGTTTACAGTCAAGGTTGTTATTAATAGGTGAGGAGTTACTCCCATCATTTATTAATTGTTTTCTGGTAGTTTTGTATATTCTTTACTCTTTCTTCCTCTCTTATTCTTTATCTTTGCCATTTGCTGGTTTTCTGTAGTGATATCATTTGATTCTTTTCTCTGTCTTATTTGTATATCTGTTCTACCAGTGAGTTTTATATACTTTTGTATGTTTTCATAATGATAGATATTATCCTTTAACTTTAAGATAAAGAACTCCCTTAAGCATTTTTTTGTATGGCTGGTCTGATGGTAATGAATTATTCAGTTTTTGCTTCTCTGAGTAAAACTTTAACCTTCAATTCTGAAGAATAGCCATGCTGTGCATAGTATTCTTGGCTAGCTCTTTCTTTCTCTTTCTTTCTCTTTCTTTCTTTGTCTTTTTTCTCTTTCTTTCTCTCTTTCCTTCCTTCCTTCCTCTTCTTCCTTTCCTTACCTTGTCTTTTTCTTTTCTTTTTTCTTTCTCTCTTCTTTCTCTTTCTTTCTTTCTCTTTCAGCACTTTGAATATATTACCTCATACTATTCTTCTGACCTGTAAAATTTCTGCTAAAAGATCTCCTGTTAGTCTGAAGGGGATTCCCTTATATGTGACTTGAATTTTGTTTGTTTGTTTGTTTGTTTTTGCTGTTTTTAGAATTCTCTCTTTGGCTTTTGAGAATTTGATTATAATATACCTCATAGAGAACACTTTTGGGTTGATTATATTTGGGAATCATTCAGCTTCTTGGATCTGGATGTCTATATCTCTTCTAAAACTTGGAAAATTTTTAGTTATTATTTCATTAAATAGGTTTTCTATGGCTTTTCCAATCTTTTATTTTTCTAGAATTCCCAAAATGCAAATATTTGTTTACTTAATTGTATCCCACATGTAACATAGGCTTTTATTATTCTTTTTTTGTGTGTGTGACTGGCTTATTTCAAAAGACTCCTTTTCAAGTTCAAAAATTCCTTCATTGCTTGATCTAGTCTATTATTGAAGTGCTCAATTGTACTTTTAATTTTATTCACAAAAATCTTCAAATATGATTTCTGTTTGGTTTTTTATTATTAGATCTATTTCTGTTGAATTTCTCAGTCAGATCATGAATTGCTTGCCTAATTTTGTTTAATTGTCTATCAGTGTTCTCATGTATCTCACTGAGTTCCCTTAAGATAATTATTTTGAATTACATTTTAGGCATTTCAATATATTTTCTTTTACTTGAGGTCTGTTAGTGGCTGTGTTTCTTTGGAGGTATCATGTTTACTTGCTTGTTTATGTTTCTTGTGTCTATACATTGATATCTGCACATCTGGTGAAACCGTTATTTTTTCCAGTTGTATGGAGAACCTTTTCTAGGAAATTTTTTTTTTTTCCCCTGTAGATGTATCTATGGTGTTCATTGGGTAGAGTGCTTTGGCTTTTGTTCTGTGTGGGCACAGTAGTATAATCTCCTTATGATTTCTTTGGCTGTAATCAATGTTAGTGGTGTTTGAAAGTGCTTCTGTGGCCTAAGCTGTGGCTGTTTGTGGAGGCTGTGGCATATCTTTGCTGGGGAAGCGTTGCTGAAAAAGCTGGCTCTCAAGAGCCTGAGGCACATGCATGGTTGTGCAGTGACTCTACCAGTGGAGGAAGCAAGGTTGCTGGTGGTAGTAGAGGTAGGCCCTCAGAGGACTGGTCCTCGGGCTCTAGGTGCCATCAGTTGTAATGTGGTGTGCACGGGTACTGGGCTCCAAAGATTTTAACTTGTCAATAAAATTGAATTGAAACCTGATCTCATTTTGATACACAGTTTAAAATGTCTCTTGGTTCAGTTTGTTTCCAGAGATGCTAATAAAGTTTTATGACCTTTTCCATGTTTATTATATTCTCTGGAAGAGAATAATTTATGGAAACATGACCACAAGATGGTAATAACAAGATAGAGATGAACCAAGTGTTGATGTTATTGATGATGAATTTCATGGTCACTTTTTAGTTATTAAGAATGGCTATAATTGGAGAAGAAATGAAATACTAATTAGCAATAAATTTGTAAAATCTCTATAAATCTTTTCATTTTAAAGATTACAAGTGTATCTCCTACTTCATTATAAGTCTGCAACTTATTGTTAACTTTGAGGCAATGTGTACTACAAAAGAAATAAAATTTATGTATTCATTACCTAGTGTATGCTACAACAAAATTAGGAGGTAGAGATTATTATTCTTATTTAACAGAAGATGAGAGTGCACATATAACTGCATCAAGTTATTTTTATTAAGGATAAGACTAGATTTCAAATCGATTATTCTCTGACTTCCCACTGTACTTTCTTGCCTCTCAAGGAAATTCCCTTTGTCACCCTATCAATCATTGCCAAATCACTATATTTGGTATTTTGCAGAATTTCTTTTAGGAAGAAGCACTAGAATAGAAAATGGTGGGCACATAATTCACATAATTAACTTCAAAAAAAAATTTAATGCTCTTTAGAAACCTACCCAGCACCATAAAAGACCTTGATGTGTCCTCTTAGGTAGTTTTCCAATTCTAAGCCAAAATTAATTGTACCTTGCATTTACAATAGAGTTACATTTGTCATGCATTTGGATGAAGAAGCTTTTAAAGATATTTTAGTTGTACTTTATTCTTACAAGAGAATTTTTTAAAGTAAGATTTGTCTCCTGTCTGGTTTTAGCCTGGCAAGGACATAGATCAATACTGCTTAGAATTTGTGGGGACAAATATAAACTTCTAAGTCTAAATAAAACACTTTTAAGTATATGTATCTATTTCATTTGGATTGTTTCCAAAGGAAAGCTCTTTGCAGCTTTTATAACATACAAAGCCAAGAGGCTACTGGTGGAAAGGTCACTGTACAAAAAGAATGTTAAGAAACAAAGAAAAGTACTCATTATCAGTTTTAAGGAACACTTTTAAGAGGAGGGGGTATTCACTCAAGAAGTATAAGGAAAAATAGAATTAGAAGTTTAAGGCACAAATATTGGGAAAGAAACAAACAATTCAATCATTTCGTTGCAATGGTAGCAAGATGAGGGTAGGGATGGGGGTGCTGGGCAAAATAGCAGCTCATTCTCTAACAGTAATGGTGCTGATACTGCAGCAGCATTAGCCATAACTTATGCCTTCTTATTTAAAATATACACTTCCTTCCTACTCATTTTTATTTCATTTTGTCTATACAAAGTGATCATTATCTATCAATATGTTTTTCCTGTGTATTGATGATCCTTGCCTTAAGCGTATAGAAAGTGATTTGAGAAGTCTTGTGAAAAGAATTACCTTAATAATTTTAATTAAGATGTGTGTTCACAGCTGTAATCAAATTAGCTATCTGAATTTACACTATTTAAACGTATGTCATTATCACCAATATGAAATTGGAAATCACATGGAGAAAAATATTGTGATATAATTTTAATTTATATGTCAATTTTGTTAACCTACCTCAATGAAGAAATAATAAAGTAACCACCTATTTTCCTGCAGTGGACATAAGGAATTGTGTGATACCAAATCTCATACACTTACTTAAGGGATCTTTTACAGTTGTCTGATCAGACTCTTTCGGAGTTTTTATTTGAAATCAGACACTGATTAAACTACATCCTGACTCTGTGTCCGGGGTAGTTGTGAGATCTAAAAATTATGTTAAATGGGGAACCTCGAGAGCATTTATGTTGGACTGTCTGGTGAAGAAAGAAATAAGTGGGATCCTCATAATTAAAGAGACATCAAAAGTCTGAGGGATCAGACTCCTTTATAGTTAACTCCTGGGAGTTTGCCAAAGAGTCAAGCTGAGGACTTTATCTGGACGGTAAGTCAGACCAGTCACCAAGCATTAGAGCTGCTCCCTGGTAGAAAAAGCGGTGTGCTGAGTAGTGAATTCATTCAGCTTGTGTTCAAGCAAAGGCTGAATGGTCCTACAAGAGAGAAGCCTGCACTCAAAGACCTGTATAACCTCTTCCTTCAAAATGATCTGGTGATTATAAGACAGAGACTAACAATCACATATTATATAATTTTTTTGTTGCCTAGGTTTATTCAGTACCACTTAAATAGACAGGAAAATGTAAACTTCTCAGGATATCAGTCTATCTAGTTCACACAAAATAACAGAAAAATACACTATAATTTTAAGTCTATAAATTACTGGTTTATTCCCAATTGTTTGTTAGTAATCTGCCTCCATTGACAACTACTCATTTGAGCTCTTAAATACTGCACTATGCTGTATTTGAGAATGATTACATATAAATTCTCAGCATCAAGGCACTTTGAGAATCTCTTTAGAAGTATCAAAAACACTTAAACACTCTCGTGAAATGGAGCAATTTTAATAATTTTTCACCGATCAGTGATTGTTCACAGCTAGAACCAAAGGAATGACTCAAATTTACACAATGAATCTGAAAAGATTCCTACAAAAAATTCAAGCAATTTAAGCATTAATCATTAGAAAATTTTAAAAAGCTAGTTACATTTGTAGAATACGGCTACATTATTTTGAGTAATTTTGTACTATAAAAATTCAGTCACAAAAGAACTAAAATTTGTTGTAGCTCCTAAGGCTAAATTCAAACTTGACATGTCTGACTCCTTTCACTCTAAAATGCAGTAATTAATTTTCCCTGGTGCTACATTGTTACTTCGCGTGGACTGAAGGTTTAGTTTTTATTAACTGTATAATTTGATTTCTCCCCAGTTGAGTCCATGTTAATCATTTTCCATAAAGAGAGATGTATGAGCCTGTCTAAAATCACTAAAAATAAGAAAAAAGAGTAAAAATATTTCATGTTGAGGAAATTTTGAAAGAGCTCCTGTAATTCATAGCAATCACTTTTTTTTAGTCTAAATAATTCAGGTAATTATGTAATTTCTCTGCTCTATTTTACAGTGCAAACTAAGACAGTAGGACTGGTGGGAAAAGTAAAAGACTATGAGTGAGTGAGAAGACTTAAGCTCATTACCATGGCCATAATTCTCTATATTGCTTTTTCATTCTGTATTACAGAGAAGTTAATGACCATCCTTTTCCAAGTAATTGAGTACCAGAGAAGTAAAAGGGAAATCCTTACCTTTAATACGATGAATTTGGTCTTAGTGCCAAAGCTCTGAAGAATCTTAATGAGATTTGTGACCATGTGTAATGATTAGCCATTTTTTATCTGAATAATCCTTCCTTTGACTGAGGACATTAGTATTATTGCCCAGATCTTGTTTCTTAGCCACTCTGCTTTATAACTTTATCACAGTATTCCCCTCACTCCCCAATCCTGAAGTGTATGGAGCCTGGATTTATTTGCCCGTATATACTTCTAAATACCAATACTGGCTTACCTGCTTTACTTTAAACCTTCTTCTCTCCACTCTACTCAACACCCCAGACACTTCCCATGCAATTGCAGTACCTATGTAATACCTCTTCCTATGCCAACTGTATTCCTGCCTGTAACTTAGTGCCATTGTGATTTGGCTTCAGATCCTGGGCCTTGTAGTCCTTCGCTACCCAACCACTTTCCATGGCCAAGTGCACACCAGCATAGAACCTAAAGTCTAAATATATTCAACAACCGTTTACTAGCATAAGTATCTCTTGGATATGACAAGTATCTAGTAGAGCTTCTCAATTGACATTTGTCAAGTTAATAGGATTTATACACTTAAAATAAAAGTACTGTGGTCATATGAGCTCTGCCCCTTCCTAAATTGGTTTAACGTTTCTTTTTGACTAAAATGGGCTTCTGGAAAGCAAATTATTTTTTATAGTATCTCTACATTGGGAAAATGTTTTGGTGGATATCAGATTTAAACTATAAACAAAGAGTGGCTAAAAGAATTGAATAAAAAACTTGTATTCTAAAATAGTTTTACTTCTCTTAAGCTCAAAAGCACTTATTTTCTTCCTCAACGTAAAGAGACAACAATATTTCTCCTGTGTGCATCGATAAATTATTCCTCCCCAGGGGCCTCCTTCCAAAATCTTGATATACTAGTTTTTTGGGGGCCTAATTTTAGATGGGAAATAGTTTTGAGTATAAATCTGGGGGCTAGTGGATTCCAAGAGAAATAATTTCAGAGCCTTCTAAAGGCAACAGCTAAACTGTCTGTCAATCATTGGGCTAGGAAAGTACCTAAAACTGCATTGCAAAAGTAAGTTTTTGGTGCAGAAGTACCTGAAAGTGGAAGAAGGACTGTCCTGGTTCACTTCTAATCCCCTCACCTCTGCAGGATAATTATACCCCTGGGGTTTAATTCTTAGACTCAATAGATGAGGGGAAATGAAAAGGTACTTATTTCTCACTCTTCAGGTTTTTCAGAGATGAGAAAGAATTTCCATTTCATTCCTCCTCAGGGAAAAAGATGGGAGAAATATACCTCCTGCTTTTCTCTTTCCCATCACTTAGCCCCACCAACTCCACAATGCATGACTGACTTGATGGATAAGTGCAAAAACGACTGGGCACACTCAGCTCATTCACACTTTCCCTCTTACTTTTGAGCTAGCTGATCTGTAGAATGCTCACACTCCTTGGGGTAGAAACAGACACATAGACACATACTATATCTTTTTTGTAGTAATATTTGTACAGCTATTTTATAAAGATATGTTTATTATTTTATATTGCTATTCCTTATAAAAAGATATACAACTCAACAGAATTTATGCCTGGAAGCTAAATAATACTGACCTGAAGAAGAGGTATGGAAACAAGTGGCCCAAGGAAGGAACTGGAGAGAAATCTGTAATATTTCAAGGACCCAGCATATCTATTTCCCACTTTTGAGGAATGCTGAATTTGGGACATGAAATATCTGTTTATTACTAATTAGATTATGAATGTAAACCTTATACTAGATGGATCAACAGAACCAGTCAGATTTCTCTTTTGCCTTGATTGACAATAGTAAATCCAGATAAAATAAGTTGTATATCACTAAAACATCTATCCCCAAGTGACTTAACTATTTTAAATACATCTCCATTGCTTGGAACCTGAAAGAGTCTATTTCATTAAAGTTAACTAAGATTATATTTCTTCAACATAATGAAGACAATCATTGTGGGGGATGAAATAACTAAGACATGATCATAGCCTTCAAAAACTTTACAGTCTGATATTTAGTCAAACAACATAAGTAATTACATCTTAGGGTAGAATATATCTACAACCTTAGGAAAGATTTAAAAAAAAATACTTAAAGGTAAGGTCATGTCTGGTTGAGTGATCATGTAAGACTTAACAGGGGAGTTGATTTGTTAACTAAACCTAAAGGAACGGAAAGATTTAAGTAGAAGGAGATGTAAGAGGGAATTGTGGACAAAGGTACAATAATGAACAAAGGAATACAGAAGGGAAACAGGAAATGGTGAGTAGCTCTGTGTGGCTGCAGTGTTTCTCATGTATGTGTATGTGTGTGAAAGTGTGAATGTATGAATATGCGAATGTGTGTGTGAACACGTGTGTATGTATGTGAATGTAAGTGAAAAATGCATGTGAGTTTGTGCGTGAGTGGTTATGTGAATGTGTGTGAACAGATGAGTGTACATGAGAGTGTATGTGAGTATGTGAATGTGTGTGAACCTGTGAATGCATGTGAGTGTGACTGACTGTGTGTATTTATACCTGCTCCCTGGAATGTCGCCGTGGGGGTGGTGAGGTGAGTGGGATGTGCAATAGGAAAGATGAAAATCATGGGGCACTAAAGCTGAAATAACTAAGACGACTGAGTACCTTAGGACCAGTATGGTATCCTTCTGAGTATGATACCCACAAGAACTCAGAATTTTGAGTTAACACCGTCAAGGAAGCCAGCTAGGATGACTAAGAATTCAGACTTGCACAAAGAAAAATGAAGGATGGAAAAGTAAGGTCTGTTGACAACTTCATAGACATCTCATTTCATTCTCACTACAGTCCTTTGGAGAGAACATTCTTACATAGAATGAGAGAACACTGAAGCTGAACAACCAAGTGACTTGCTAAAGCACAACAGGAGCAGGCTTGAACATCCTATTATTTGTCTTACTCCAAAGCTTATGGTATTTCCCCAGGACCAGTAATTTCCAAATTTTAATTATTTGCATACTTTCTTCCTTGATTTGTTTTATCACCTCTTGTAGTAGTTTTAAAAATGCATTTCTCATAGTTAAACACACTTATGATTTAATCACACTGTAGTTTAATTTTTTTTTTGAGACCGTGTCTTGCTCTGTCACCCAGGCTGGAGTGCAGTGATGTGATCTTGGTTCACTGCAACCTCCGCCTCCCATGTTCAAGTGATTCTCGTGCCTCAGCTTCCTGAGTAGCTGGGATTACAGCTGCGCACCATCATGCCCACCTAATTTTTGTATTTTTAGTAGAGACGGAATTTTGCCATCATGGCCAGGCTGGTCTCCAACATCTGGACTCAAGTTATCCACCCACCTTGTCCTCCCAAAATGTCAGGATTACTGGTGTGAGCCACCATGCCTGGTCTAGTTTAATAATTTTAAAAAGGAAAATAAAATCATTAGTTGATGCAGTGGTTACACTTTTCTAATACAAATTTAAAAATCTTCACATAACACGGCAAAAAAGGGGCTTCATTCTCCTCTGGAAGGGCTCTGGCCTGACTCAACTTTGAATAAGAACATAGGTCTTGATAAGTAAAACTAGGTCTGTTTTTAAGCCCCCACTTACCCCTTCAGGAAGGTGCTTCGGGGCAGAACTCATTTTGTGCACCAAAGTGTGTATGTGGTGGCCCTGAATATACCCCCAACACTAACGTCATCTAGCACACTTTTAAAATACTGCATTTCACAGAATAATAGAGGGCGGCTTTCAGTTGTCTTGATATCAGTAATTCCCTTTTTGACTACTACTTGCATGTGGGAAGCATTTAATAAAGCATGAGTCATTACACATAATGGATTTCCTGGATGTTGAATGCATCCTTAAATGTGTACTAAATAGATGGATTTACATACCTCTCTGTGTGAATGCTGCATTTTGGCCCATGAATCTGCATTGTATAAAGCTGATAATAACAGTTTAGGTATCACAGGACCTGCTTCTTGTTACGATTATATCATGTCTCTGTGATTCATTGATGGCATATTTTGTCAGAAGTTTCAGAATTTCATCAACTCAAAGCTGATCCCAACACTCCACAAATGCAGGAAAAAGCTGTTTGAATAGGACTTTGGGAATCTGGCCCCTCACCTTTGATTTACCCCACTTACTATATTTCCACTAAGTTCAGACCATGGCAATTACTTCCTCCTTAGATACTGATACAAGAAGCAAAGAAAGATTCAGTTTTCTATTTTAAAGTGGTGATACAAATACATTAAAACTGGTCACCCTGGGGACTGTTGTGGGGTGTGGGGAGTGGGGAGGGATAGCATTAGGAGATATACCTAATGCTAAATGACGAGTTAATGGGTGCAGCACACCAACATGGCACATGTATACATATGTAACAAACCTGCATATTGTGCACATGTACCCTAAAACTTAAAGTATAATAATAATAAAATTTTTAAAAAAACAAAAACTGGTCATAATTTTTTTAAAGGAACACAATATGTTTGTTTGTTAGAGGAGAAAGAGTAGAAGCTTTGGAACGAAACACACTGTTTGACTCTGGCATTTGATGACTTCTAACTTTGTGACCTTAGCCCAGTTATTTAACCATACTGTTCTCTTTAAAATGTACATAGCACTTTGAAGATTTTCTGTAAAAGACCAAAAAATAAATAAATAAATAAATAAATAAATAAAGCATCTTCAGCACAAAGTAGGTGCTCATGAAAATAACTTCTCTCCTCCTTTCATAATAACTTTTTACATTGTAAAAAGTGAAGTAAGATAAGCTATTTAAGAGTTTGAAAAATACTCTTGCTGCACCACTGGTTTTTATCTAACCCTATTATTATTATCATACTAATTGCTATATCCCACCTGCTCTCATTTTAAGCAACTGACTTTCCCCAGATAAAAATGAAACAAAGGACTATGATTTCCCACCTTTGAATCATAAGCTCTCGCATTGTCCTGCCCTGGTCAGTAGAGTCACAGCATAAGTGAAGAGCGGCATCTCCTCTGGGTACCTGGCTCCCCTGCTGTGGCAGTGAGAGACACTTTATTTAAGAAACTGACATGTAATCAAGCCTCCCATACCACAGCTGCCTATGTCGTTTGAAAGTAAGATTTTTGTTTTTTTTGTAGAGAAAATATGTCCCAGGGAAAAAGGAAATTATACTCAACTATCACTTCACAATTTATGTTCATATTCTTTCTTTGATAATTATTGTAATTAAGTGCTTAAATGGAATGAAGAAAACTCTAGTGTCAGGAAGACAGGGGGCAAACACAGATCAATATTGAGGAGGATGTTCAAGAAAATGACTTGTTCTTCCTACTTAGTATTTTAGATATATGAATGATGCAGCTTAAATATTTAATTATCTTAGTATAGAACTAAATAAATGCAGGAAAGCTAGATTTGCTAAAGCTAGAAGATTAGAAAGTTGGATAAATTTAGCAAGAAAAAATGAGACACTTTAGTCTATTTAAAAGAACCAGTGAGAAAACACAATGATGCATTTTATTTTTTATTTAAATAACTTATAACCATTTGCTCAAGCGATATTTTTCAGATTCAAACTTCTAATAATTTTAACAGGTACATACTCTAATTCAAGACAAACACAAACCACAAATAGACTTGTGTTAGAGTATTTAATCTTGTTCTTAAACTTCTTGAGAACAACATGTTGCCAGAATTAAGAGTCTTATCCTAAAAAGTGTAATTCTGTTTCCTGCTTTTGGGGAAGGTGCAGAAAATAAATCATATTCTGGTCATAATTTGGAAGGCTTCCTTACATTTAGGATTTTGAAAAATAAATGTTTATCTATGATATCTTTTGTTAAATTCACATACTTTCACTTCAAACTGTCCCACCACCTCATGACAGCATAAGAAAACTGGTATTTAAACATTACAACTGAACTCATGCTCCATCACTTTAATTGGTGTAATCCTTAGGGCCTTAAAGCCACAAAGGGTCTCAGAAGTTGTAATATTGGCTGGTAAATAGCAGAACCTGATGGAGGTTCCCAATCTCCCAGATCTTACCCCAGTGTTCCTTTTTATGCTCTTATTCTTCTAGAGTGGACAAATAATGCACTCATATCCTATTGGCCTCACAGAGATCATTATTCAAGCAAAATGCCCTCCCATTTCTCTTCCTTTCTTCAGCATCTGGGATTCGCTATATGCAAGCATGCTGACTGATTACTTCTGATCCCTTAGACTGATGTCTTTACTTAACATAAGGGTCCCAGGAAGCTCTTCCTTCTTAAGAGCATGTAAGTGGGCATGAGTTGTTACCTGTCTGGTGTCTCCATTTCTTTCTTCTAATAACAGGAATACTACTTTTGTCTTAGGAGCTATCTTTCCACATGATGTCAAGCTAACCAATCACAGTACATTCTTCCCCTAGACACAGAGATTTGTAAAAGGGAAAAGATCTATTTCAAGTAGGGCCAGTCAAGATCCATTTCTGGGGACTGAAATGAATCTCAGAAAAGAGTGTCTGTGTTTTTGAGACTGAATGTACCAAAGGCCAGGAAAACCTGCAAAGATCTACTGCCATCTCTCCTTCTACATCAGGAAGCATGTCTGGGCGTGAAACAGTACCCATGGAAAACAAACCAGGAAGACAAGGAAGAAAAGAAAAACCAAATTCCTGATGGTTGCACATTGTTTATATCCTTGAATTCTGCTGATCCTGAATTTAACACACCTCCTTAGACTTTCCAGAGCATGAACCAAGCTATGTTCTTAACAAAGCTTGAGTTGGGTTTCTGTCACTTGAATTTAGAGTTTTAATACAATTTCATACTATGCTTGCATCTTCAAATTTTCTACAACTAACTGTACTTGTTATTACAAATGGTCATCTTTCCCTACAACTTTAAGATCTGTGGAACTATGCCTTTTCTTTTCTGTTTATTTTCATACTTACATTTTTAAGTTCAATACTAGGTGTTGTGCCCTAAGAAATTAATTTTAGTTTTCTACTGATAAGCCACACATGCATAGAGAGTTTCCTGCTCTCATAATTTAGTATTCCTTTTCTTTACAAATGAAATGTCCACTGTGGTCTTTCCTTTGCAGCCCCATCATACATGTGATGAGTCAAAGAATAGTTCTGAGGTGAATGATATCACTTAAAATATATTTAAGATAAAATGGTCAGAAACTAAAGGGCAATGAGTATTACAGTGGGTTGAATGATGCCTCCCCAATTATCTCCATAATTGAATCCCAGAACCCGTGAATGTGATTTTACTTAGAAAAAAGGGTCTTTGCATATGTAATTAAGTTAAGGATCTCAAGGTGAGATTGATACAGACAGGAGGCAGGGAAATGCTGGGTAGAAGAGGGCAGTTACCCGGCAAAAGCCCCATCCTCAAGCCTGGATACCTGTGGCCCAAAATGAGTACAGGCATTCCTGTTTTCACACCAAAAAGTTGCCTTTTGGTCCACCACACCCCCTATCCTGTACCCATATAAACCCTGAACTCCAGGCTCCAGAGCAGGCCAGCAGATGAGGAGATGAGATAAGCAGATGAACAGCAGAGCGATGCGGCAGAGAAAGAGAGAAGAGGAGAAACATCTGAATGCTGATAGAATTTCAGCTGGGGGTTGTCGGAGAGGAGTTTGGCTGCTGGATGGCTCAACTCCGGGGGAAGACCACCTTCCCACTCCATCTCCCCTTCCAGCTCCCCATCCACCCTGCTGAGAGCCACCTCTACTACTCAATAATATCTCGCATTCATCCTTTAAGCCCGAATGTGATCCAATTCTTCCCAGACGCTGGGCAGTAACTTGGGATACAGAAAGCTGTCACACTGGCCCTCTGCCCTTGCAAAAAGGCAGAGTGCCCACTGAGCTAGTTAACTCTTAAAGCTGTCTGCTGACAGCAAGGCTAAGAGAGCATTGTAACACTGGGGCTGCAGGCATCCACCCCTAGACACTACTACGGGGATGGAGACCAAAGCACTTGACCTGGTCTCTGCACCTCCTACAAGGAGTTTGAGCAGCTGAGGCAAGCAGATGAATAGGTGAGTCACACCCCTGTCGCATATCCTGTGAGGGAACTCTCCCACTGAATTTTTCACATAGGGTCTGCATCCAGTGGTAAGTATTCTTATAAAAACCGGAAGAAGAGAAGACACAAAGAGAAAGCCATGCAAAGATGGAGGCAGAGATCGGAACTGTGCCAAGACTAAAGGAATTCTTGGAGCCATCAAAGCTAGAAGAAGCAAGGAAGGATTCTTCCCTAAAGTCCTAGAGGGATCATGCCTCTGCACATACCTTGGTTTGAACTTCTGACCTCTAGAATTGTGAGAGAAAAAGTTTATGTCCTTTTAAGCCACAAAGTGCATGGTAATTTGTTATAGCAGGCACAGAAAATTAGGCATTATAAAACTTAAATGTGAGATTAATTATTCACATTCAGAACCAAGGAATATATAGATTTTTGTCACTGAGATTCCCAGCCTGGGACACAGGCCTGGCCTGCCTTGGAGAAAACTGGTTGTATTGCAAGGGGAGGGAAGGACAACTAGATCCAAAGCAGTGAGGAAAGGAAGTGCCTCCAGCTGCAGAGTTGGGAGAGATTTTCAAAGGTAAGAAAACTCTTATTTAGAGATAGTTAAATTTGTCAAATTCTCTATTGGGAGAGAAACATTTTCTTCCAATCAAACTGGTAATCTTTCCTTGGAGGCGTTAAAAGGTGCATGGACCCTGTAATTGGACAGGCCTGGGGACAAATGACAGCTTCAGCCCAGCTCAGGGATCACAGACAGTCTCTGACCTGAGCAGAGCCACATGACACTTTTGGCCAGAGTCTGAGAAAGAAACCCTAGCTCTCCTTTTATGGATTTGAATGTGAGGAGAATGTAGGGTCTGGAGTTGCTGACTTATTTTCTGACTCTGAAAAGACACCTAGTCTTAGAATGGAGGCAATGTTGAAACCAAGAGTAGGAGAGAAGAAAGACTGAATTCAGCTGTGCTGTATCCCCCAGACTTTTTAGTTACAAGAGTCAATAAATTACATTTTGTCCAAGACAGTTAACCCAAAGTGTCTTGATACACTACGGAAGGCACTTAGTATAATTCCAGAAATGCAGTGTATACTTTATAAATATTAGTATCCTATGAAGCTGAAATTCCATCAGCGTAGTCCCAAATAAATTGCCTTAGAGTAGTGGTTTTTCTACCTTGGATACATGTTAGAATTACCTAAACAGCTTTGTTAAACTGCTGCTGCCCAGTAGTATTCCTTACCAATTGAGTCAGAATCTCTGGGAATGAGACTCAGGCCTCGCTACGTTCTTAAAGGTCCCCAGGTGATTCCAATGTGCAGCCAAAGCTGAGAATCACTGTTTAGGACTAACACACAAACAGGATTTGTAGTGAGTGAGAGAGAAAAAAGCAACTTTTACTTTAAATAGCAACCCTAAGTATTGCCTATTTATTGTGTCAAGATTTTGAAGTTTACTACTTCTGTGGAGACAGTTTCTAATCTTGTTTTTGTTCCCTCTGGCAAATTGTTGCAAGTTTTCTTTAGCAGGAGTTAAGAGAATATCTTTTTAGCTTGGGTAGGCTGTGCTCATTTATTCTTACTCTGTGAAAACCCCTCCAAGCTTTTGAGCTTGTTATTTTATTAGGAACTAATAAATTTATCCTGACCATACACACTGTTAAAAAGCTTAGTGTTCCATATGAGACAGGCCAACGGACAGTGTAATCTTTAAACCCTAACCTTAGCTTATGAAAGGTACTAGTGTTACATTAATAGCCAATGTTAAATTGTGTGTAATGGATTTATTGGGTCTCATACTCTACAATCATATAACAATGAAAGCCACTTCTGACAATCTCTGGTAATTCCTAAAACAGTGGGAATTTGAAGTTAGCATATGGTTGAAGTTAGCATTGTATCTAGAGTCATAAAAGAAGTCCTTGCCATTGAATAGCTGTGTTCATCGTGTGAGCTTCAGTTTTTCTCATTTGTAAAATGGAGCAAATGTTTTGTCTAAAAATCATACACAATACATAAACTATGATTACTTGCATAGATGAGGTTTGTAAACCAAAATAAAAATACAAGTATGTTAGAATTTTTGGAAAAATAAGATTACCCTGTATGTGAATTTTGCCTGCATCATTTGAAGAGTAAAGATGGTGCAATAAACACTAAAGAAGTAATACTTATCTAAAAAGCACACCTCATGGACCAGAGAAAAATCAGAAAGCTACAGAAATCATCTGGGTCTATGGAACTGTGCATCTGTTTCTGTTCTATGTCAGTTACATCAAAGGGAAAGGACTCTGATATTTACAGGCATCTATAATGAGCCAGGTAGCTTTAAAACATAATTTACTAATTTAACATGTTGTATTTGAGTACCTGATAGGTACCAGGCACTGTCTTATTTAATCCTCACAACAAGCAGGTGAGGAACCCATGGCACAAAGATATTAAGAAATGTAAGGCTACATTGCAAATAAGCGGCAGAGCTAAAATTTAAAATCAAGTCTAACTCCATAGCCATGTGTTCTTCAGTGATGTCACACTGATTTCTAGTTCTAACAGAAAGATAGTTTTTCATCTAAAAGGAAATAGGAGACACTGATAATCATTACATATTTTTGTAATGATTACATTACTAATTATTTTTATATGGCAAGTGTAGAAGGTATAATTCAAAGATTCCTTGTTCCCCTAGCCAAATCATTTGTCATGATCTTAGCATCTCTATGATGCTGTCATCACCAGAGTAGTGGCTTTTCAGAGAACTGGGCTCTGTAAAAGGGCAGGACTTTACAAACATGTAAGTATTCTAGTTTCTGAGCACAAATACTTGTTTTATAACTTTTGTTTTTTCTTCAAGTGAAATGAAATTGCCAGGTCAAAGGACTGAATGCTTTAATATCTATTAAATTTGTTTCAGAGGCCATCTGTTAAAATAAAATATTTTATTATTTTATAGTTTTTCAACAAATATATTTGAGACTTAGGAATGTGATATCTCTCAGAATTAGTGAAAGCCATTCCTTTACCTACCGGCTCCAAGTAATCCTATTGGCCTCCAAGGATCATAGAAAAATATTTAATAGAAAACTTCCTTTTCCATTTTAACTATCATGCTTCCATGACATAGGCTGAGCATCTTTGCAAAGCTAAGGAAATGCATTTTTTCCCCCTGAAATCACATACCTATTATGTCTCTTTGATTCTTAGGTAATGAAACAAATTGAAAATAATTTGGTCTTCATGTTCTAATTATGTAATGTAATTCTCTTCCTTAAATATGATGATTAATGTGGAAATGTTTCCAGGAACTTTTGGGAGGAGAGTGATTTTTTTTTTCAATTTTGTGGAAACCTTAGATTTAGTGTCTTATTTTAAATTCATCCAAAGGAAACTGGTGTCTTATATAAAAAACTCATTTACACAGAAACACCTGGCCCAGAAGAGGATTATCATGTTAATAATGCCAAAACAAACTATTGAGAAGAAATGGTTTGTGAATATAACATATGAACCTCTTTTATGTCTGCCTCCTTCCATATTTAATGAGATACCTTCTTGACATGCCACAATCTCAAAACTATCTTTCCATTAACTATTTTTCATCTCACTCATAAAGGCATTAAAATAATCTATGAATATGGTTCTCATTGCCGGTAAGTTTCTCCTGCTAAATATCTTTGTCTTTTAGAACTGTAGCATATATTGTTCCATTCAAAATTTAGGTCCATCATTAAGAGGATTTTAGATGTAATGGCTCTTTTCATTTGGAGAACAACCTTACAAAGCAAACTATACTAGCAGGAACTTTCAGGTATCTAAATATGAATGTAAGAAAGTCATTTGTAGAAAAATGCAAAACAGAATTTTTATTTATTTATTTATTTATTTTTGAGACAGAGTTTCACTCTTGTCACCTAGGTTGCAGTACAATGGCACAATCTTGGCTCACTGCAACCTCCGCCTCCCTGGTTCAAGCGATTCTCCTGCCTCAGCCTCCTGAGTAAGTGGGATTACAGGCACCCACCACCATGCCCAGCTAATTTCTGTATTTTTAGTAGAGATGGGGTTTCACCCTTTTGGCCAGGCTGGTCTTGAACTCCTGACCTCAGGTGATCCACCCGGCTCAGCCTCCCAAAGTGCTGGGATTACAGGTGTGAGCCACCACGCCCAGCCAGAATTTGTTCTTTATTCAAGTAATTCAAAATAAGGTATAAATAAGCTTACTACCAGAGTGGTTAACTAAAAATTATTATAGAATTAGTGATTTTAGAACAGTTGCTATTGCTATTATAAATTTGCACAGAAATTGCATTGTATTAAACAGAGCGTTTATTTTTGAATAAAATATCGCTTTTGTATTCATTTGTGCAACTGCAAAAAACAATTGCTTCACCTGCCTTTCTCACTCCAAAGCTGTCTAAATTAAACTGTTCCTTAAGCAAGCCCAGGTATCCCTTAGAATTCTATCTTTGACGGTCTAGATTCAACTGGTTATTTGAATTATTCCTAGTTATAAAAATGAAAAAAATAATATTTTATCAAACTAATTTTAATTAATATGTTACCTCTATACAATGCTTCTAATACGTAATACTCAAATCATAGAGAGCTATGGTAGTAACTATTTGTCTGACCACAGTAAGGTTTTAGAATTCATAATCCCAGTCACGATTTTTATAAGCAGTGTATTTGTCCATTCATACAGCAAGCATATTGGATATGAGTGAGTCCTTGCACTGAAGGAGCTGATAATTCAGCAAATAAGGCAGCTAATGTATGCCTAGGAAATACCATAATATGAGCTGGAACCTGATAGATGCATAAACAGGTAAAACTTTGCTAAAGAATTTTACAAGGAAGGAAGATCATAGAAGGATTCTTTGTGGATATGCTATTTAAGCTGGTCCTTGAGGAATATTTAGAAATTCATCAAGCAGAAACAAGAAAAAGAAAGAATGATTTGAGCAAGGCCATTGTCATGGGCAAGCATGAGACATGCATGGGTTTTAGAGAACAGTGTGATTTGAATGGTGTTGATGAATAAGAAAAATGCGAGAATAGATAGAAAACTGATTTGGAACCAGATGAAGGAAGACTTTGAATCTCGGAGAAAGAGCTGTTGTTTTTATGTCCCTTATTTTAAAACAGCTACCAGTTGCTGAGCACTAAGTACTAAGCCCTAAAAGAGCAACTATTTGTAACTTATCTATCAATTCTTACAATGATTCTTTGAGACAGATATTATTCTCCCTATTTAACAAATAATAAAACTAATATTCAGATAAACATCTTGCCTAAGTTTATAAAGCTGGTCAGTGACAGATCTTGAACTCAAACTAACCTGGCTCCAAAGGCTGTCTTCTTCCATTATAACACATTTCTGGGACTTTATTGTTTAGGAAGCAGAGAGCTGTTGAACACTTCTGAGGAAGGGCATATCATGACTGGAGTCATTCTTTTATACAATCTTTAGGAAATAGGATAACCACGCATATGTCAAGATACAGAGCTATGTATGCATAGCACTATCAGTGCTATGCGGGATGGCAAGCAAGGGGCTTCAATAAATTTCAACATGGAGTAAGAAAAGTTTTACCCAGAAAGATGGCAGCAGAGAATATATTATAGAAATAATAAGAACATTTGGGAGGCCGAGGCGGGTAGATCACGAGGTCAGGAGATCAAGACCATCCTGGCTAACAGGGTGAAACCCCGTCTCTACTAAAAATACAAAAAATTAGCCGGGCGTGGTGGCGGGCGGCTGTAGTCCCAGCTACTCGGGAGGCTGAGGCAGGAGAATGGCGTGAACCTGGGAGGCGGAGCTTTCAGTGAGCCGAGATCGCACCACTGCACTCCAGGGTGGGTGACAGAGCTCACAAAAAAAAAAAAAAAAAAAAAAAAAAAAAAAAAAAAAAAAAAAAAAAAAAAAAAGAAAGAAAAGAAAAAGAAAAAAGAAAAAAATAATAAGAACAAAACAAAAGTAGTATAAAATACTTTAAATTAAAAAATTATCAATAGATTTCAGCTTCTCATATGGCCAAGTGAGCTACTGCCAGACCAACACTTCCTGCAAATAACAACTATAAACTTTAGGTGAAATGCAAAAAGCCTGAAGGCATTGAACAGGGAACAAACACAGGCAGAAAGTGGAGGAGATGACACTTACAAGAAGGGAATGCTGCATGTAGTGTATAAAACATGCAGAGTTTCCAGCCAGAAGAAGAGGATAGAGTTTGGGGAAACTACAGGTGTTGAGAAGTAAGGGAAGAATACAAAAGAAAAAGGAGACAGCTATAGAGAAATATCCCCAAATTATACCCACATGCACAGAAAAAACTCTAAGCAGCAGAATTAAGAATTAAAAAAACAAATGGGGATTTGAGCTACTGTGTATGTGGCATATTTAGAAAATTTTAGCAGAGTAGTAGAAACTATAAGAGAAATTAAAATTCTGGAACTACAACCGTAATATCCAAAAAAAATTACTGAACACAATAGCAGATTGAAGATGGCAGAGAAACAAGTCATTGAACATGAAAAGAGACTAATGCAAAGCATTCAATCTGAACAGAAATAATTAAAATATAAAAATGACCATTATTTCAGGAATCTGTAGGACAATATCAAAAGGTGTAATATCTATGTAATTGCAATCCCAAAAGAAGAGGAAAGACAGAAAGGGTCAGAAAAAATATTTGAAGAAATAATGGCTAAAATTTTATATCTTTTATTTTATTCTGAGCATATTTTCATTCCCATCATTAAGCATGTTTATAAGAACTGCTTTAAAATCCTGTATGCTAGTTCCAAAATGTGAGTTACTACAGGACTGATTTTGGTTGCTTGTTTTTCTGTTAAGAATGAGTCATATTTTCCGAAATCTTTGTATGTGCATTTATTAAGGACTTTACCTTGATATTGTCATTTTTATATTGTAGAGACTCAGGATTCTGTTATCGTATTCTGAAGAGTATTTTTTAAATTTGCTTGTTAGTTTTAGTACACAATTAACTTTGTTGGCATCAAACTACAAATCAAATATTGCGCTTTGCTCAGTAGCTGAAATTTTTCTAAATAGTTTATGATTTTTAAGTCAAATTTTAAAATTGTGTTTTGAGGCTTGTAACATGTGTAACTAAAATACACATGGTATCTATTTTATAAAGGGGGATATATGGGCAATGGATCTTTATGGATGTAAGATAACGTTTTATGTGACGTGATACATGACAGACTGTGAAAAGTAACAAATACATATATAGGCAGAAACAAGTATAGAAATTAGTGCGAAGGAGTAGAAGGCAGAAATCCAACAGATAAATGAAATGGAATTTTAAAACAATTCTTTTAATCAATTCAATCAATTGAAGATGGACCGAAGACACTGTTCAGCACCGTAAACAACTGTGAGTGTGATAGAGGCCCTGACTTCAAGGTGCTTTGTAAAAAGGGAAAATCTTCACATTTTCTAAACTAAGCAAATGATAAAATGATGTTATTCTTTACCAAATTAGGGAATGAAACGAAGAGCAGTTTTTGAAAGAAGGCAGCTGTGGACACGCTATATGTGAGGTTCTGAGCTATATCTCTGTGACATACTCTCAGATTTTCAGGAGGCTGTTAGAAATGCAAATCTGACTTCAGGAGGAATGGAGGGGCCAGAGAAGAAATTGGGGGGGTCTTTGGGACCAACATCTTCATTAAAGGAAAGAGTAGAGTGAGGAGTGAATAAAGACAACCATCCAGCCTTGGGGAAGAGCTGTGTTTCAGAGATTGAAGGCTTTGGAAAAGAGAGAAGGGATTAAAATAATATTCACATGCAGGGAATTATTTTGTGAGTTTACAAGATACTTGAGCATGTAAACTAAGGAGAAAGTTCTATAGAGACTAAGAGATTTAAGATATAAAGAAAAATGGTTGACTAAGGAAAAATAGAGATATGACAAAGGATATGGGTGGATGATTAATTTTTTTCGAGACAGAGTCTCGCTCTGTTGCCCAGGCTGGAGTGCAGTGGCACCATCTCGCCTCACTGCAACCTCCATCTCCCAGGTTCAAGCAATTCTCGTGCCTCAGCCACCCCAGTAGCTAGGATTACAGGCACGTGCCACCACGCCAGGCTAATTTTTGTATTTTTAGTAGAGATGGGGCTTCACCATGTTGGCCAGGCTGGTCTCGAACTCCTGACCTCAAGTTATCCACCCTTCTTGGCCTCCCAAAGTGCTGGGATTACAGGCATGAGCCACCGTGCCCAGTCAGATGATTCATTTTTAAAAATAAGAGAGGAGAAAAAATTTGGTAGGGAAAATCATAATTCAATGAATTCTTGAGGTGTAGGATTTGAGAATTAAGGTACTCAGGCTGAAATGACCTGATCATTTTACTGGAATGTGAATTGTGGTTACTTGCTTAAAATTACTATAGCAATGAAGTTGAAAGACTGAAATGGTAGCTAGTGTGAATAAGCTTCATTATTCCACATATATTTAATGGCATCTTCTAGGTTTCAGGCAGGGTACTAAGCACTAGACAAAGAGTGATGAAGGCAACCAAGCCTTTGCCTTTCTGAATCTTGCATTCATGTGGGAATGAAAAAAAGAAATTGAATATTTATTATAGGTTGAGGAATAGAGTGTCATGTAAGGAAAGGTTAGCTTGATGAAGGTAAGAACTCACTAGGTAGCGCTTTTATTAACTGCCCCATCTGTAAATTTGACCCTCTGCTTTGAAGGACCAGACATTTCTTGGCATCCATGGCTTTTTCCTGCCCTAAGTGCTGATTTATGTTCTAAATGGCATATGAGACTAGGGCATGTATTTATTAATTTACCATAAGAAACAATATCTAGATTAGAATAGTCACACTGGCACAATCTCTTCCCTGTGATCCAGCACATGGGAAGCCAAATCATAATCAGAAACCCATATTGATTCTCCACAAAAAATCACTGCTTTAGGAACAGGAGATATTTATTCAAAGTGGATATCCTCAGTGTACTTTCTCTCAGTAGGAAGACATGCATGAAAGGCTAGATTATGGTCGGAAGGTAGCTTGGTGAGCAGGAAGTCAGAACAAGGGGAGTTGAATGAATGGACTGTCTAATAGCATCAGGGTAAGATAACCTGATGTATTCAGCTCACAGTGGTCTTGCTATTGATATGGAAATACCTAAATCACTCAGCCTCACTTCCCATTGGACTCTGCTTGCAAGAGCTCTGCTATCATTTGTGCACAAACTCTTCTTTTTCTATTCTTCCAAGGCTGATTAATTCCACTACTGTTCAACACGTTCATGCTTTGGGTATATTGAAACATTCAAAAAGTGACATTCTAGTCCTGCTGGCATGAGAGTCACTTGCTCTCTTTTAGTTGACTTTGTATTTCTTGGCTCTTGAGCATGTCAGTTTAACAGTGTAATTCCCAAAAGACTATCTTATTTCCCTTATTTTCAGAGTTGGTGTTCCCCAATGTCAGATGTTCCTCCAAACTCTCTCATGCAAATAATAGATAATAACCACATCAGTAATCATCATATATCATATAAGGATACATAGTTGGAAATGATTTGAAACTATTTGCTCTTTAAGATTTCTACTTAGTTTTGGGTATTGTGATTATATCTTTCCTAGGATTCTTATTTCTAAGTTTTAATCTATATATTCATAAAGCTTAGAAGTGACCTTAGGGATCATTTGATTCAATAGTTTCATTTTATAGGCAAAGAAAGTGCTGCTCCAGAGATTTTTGAGCCATACAATATGTAAGTTGTACATTGTGGAAACTGAAGTTGGGGTTCACTGACTTTCAGCCTCCCCTATTTTCTGCCACCTTACAGGTATAAGACTTCAAGAATTAGATCTCCACATAGAGTTCCCCTGTATTCTTCAGGCTAGTAACTCCATCTTTGAATATTTCTCTTTTTTAAATACTTCTACCATAGTGCAATGCATATAAAAAATTAATGCAAGCTAGCCTATATTACTATTAGTTATATGAGTTTAATTTATGTAAGATAAATTGGTGCTGTATCACAAATAATAAAAAAGGAGGCTTTATGTTTTTATTAATGCAAAGCAACTGTTTTTGCTTTTTTTCCCCCTAGCAGTTTTTATTTTTTTTTCCCCCTAGCAGTTTTCACATAAAAACTCTGTTCCTGTATTTAAGATTTTTTTCTATTCCAAAAACATAGAGTGATTCAAATAAAAACTCAGCATATATTATATAATATTATATAATCAGCCCAAAATACCTATATAGTCTGGGGAGGGGTTGGATATTTATTTAAAAACATAAATGATATAATCTTAGTATATGAGAATGAGTGGTAATTCTAAGTAAGAGGGCTTAAAAAAAACTGGAAATACCTACCGTTTGTTTATTCAGCTGCAAATGAGATTGAAATTCAGTGATGTCTACACATATTGTAGAATATAAAGCTGATAAAAAAAATTGTCTTCTAAATGGTGCTGACAACAAAGTGCTCAAAATTCTCCCCAGCTTGAGTCCTAGTGGCAGGTCTGGTCTAGCCGACATGTATACCTCAAGGCGGAGTCACACTTAAGCGATCTTAGCAAAGACTCCTTATATTATAAACATCTAGGGGATCATCTAATATCTTCTAGTAAACACTTACCTCTTTTCTTACACAAACACACACACACAGTAACAACTATTTTATTCTAATCCACCAAATCTGTCTATAATTTAAAGTGGTGTTTACCACAGGAACAGAAAACCAAACACTGCATGTTTTCACTCATAAGTGGGAGTTGAGCAACGAGAACACATGGACAGAGGGAGGGGAACATTACACACCAGGGCCTGTCGGGAGGTGGGGGCAAGCGAAGGGAGAGCATTAGGACAAATACTTAATGCATGCAGGGCTTAAAACTTAGATGATGGGTTGACAGGTACAGCAAACCACCATGGCACATGTATACCTATGTAACAAACCTGCACATTCTACACACGTATCCCAGAACTTAAAGTAATATAAACAAACAAACAAACAAACAAAATAAAATGGCGTTTACCTTTTATTTTGTTTTAATAACATTTATTTTCTTAATCTCTTTCTTCTCCAAAGTAAATAATTCCCACACCTTTAATTTATGTCTTAAGCTAAATTTCTAGCCCTTTAACCCTGATGCTTTAACATCACTAAAGAAGATGACTACACTAATACCAGTAATAAAATACTAAGAAAAAATTATTTTAAAAGAAGTAGAGTTTGGATAATATTTAAATGAGCTATTTCCAGTTAAAAAAGTCAGAGGAAAACTGCTTGATTAATGTTTTCTGCACACACAAAAAAGTGTTCTCTAAATTTTTCTAAGTGGCCTTTAATTTAATGCAAATTAAGAGTGTTTTAGATTGAAGTCAAGCATTCAGTAGCGGTAAGGAAATTCTATCCCTTATACTTACTAGAATAGGATAATGATGATGCATAAGGTTACAATAGAACTTGTTCTGAGTCAGATTTTTTGAATTATAAATAATATATTGGTGGTCAAGTACATTTCTTTAAAAAAAAGTCATAAAATACACTGCATCAGAAGTGCCACTTAAAATTTTATTCATTTTAAAATTTCTAATCTGTGGTCAAATTTACTGATCTCACAGGTGTGAAGTAGGAAAAGTTGTTATCTGCTTCCTCTTCTAACATGAATCCAGATGGGGCAAGATTGCATTTGAGACATAAGGACATAATGACACTCTTGTACTCCAGAAAACTAGTGTCAAACCCAGAAATATGAAGCGTGTCTAGCAAAGTGTATGATAATTCTGTATTTAAAATTGAGAGAGTCAGGCTTTACTAATGTAAGCAGAGAGAAGTGGTAGCATAAATTAATATATTAACCAGCATAGACAGTATCACTCTGAAAAAGATATTAGTTCTCCCTTTGCTATGACAAATATTAAGTCAAAAGCACAAAAATACAGTACTTTTTCCAATGCATATTTAATCCAGATACAAGTCATGAAATAGTACTAGGATAAACTCCCATGCACATCCTTATTCATTCAGGAAATTGACATATTTTGACTGACGGTTATGTGTTAAGTACTGGGATAAGTTCTAGATAATACCATATAATCAAAATAATGTGATCTTGTTTGTGCCCCTGAGTAGCCTACAGCTTAGATGTATATGTAAGTAGATACAATATTACATATCCTATCAATCAATAATTATAATACATTGTCATAAGCATTTGTGAATAAAAGTCAAATGTAGCAGAATGTTTTACAGAGTAGGTGCTTGAAGGTGCCATGACACTTCTTTAGCCTCCAGCTCAGGTATGACTTCACAGAGGAGGAGGTCGTGAGTGATAATAAAATAATTAACACTACACTGTGTTTACTATATAGTTACAACTCTCCAATGAACTGTATATTTACTAATTCATTTAAACATCAAACCTCGTTTTTAAGGTAGATTACTATTATTGTCTCTATTGCAAAGACAAAGGAAAGGAGACACAAGCTTACACAGCTAGAAAAGAGATGACAATAGAGAGCAAATTCAGGCAGTCTGGCCCCGGCGTCGTAGCTCTCTATCACTACCCCACTCTGTCTATTTACGGTACCTTTTGGAGATGAATTTTGAAAGAAAAAGAACAGAATTTCCAGGTAGATGTGAAGTCTGTGAGTTCAAAAGTGGCATGTTGCGTTCATGTAAAAGTGAAAAAAAAATGTGTGGGGCTTCCGGAGGGGGGCAAGCTAGTGGGAGAGGCAGGGGAGGAGGTGAGAGGCAGGTGGAGGACAGAGTGGGAGACACATCGATCAGACACATGTTCATCATCTTCACTCGTTACTCTCATCCCCCATGCCGAGTTTTTCTGATACTTTTTTAAATTTCCCATATATCGTGACATCTAGGGTGCGTAAAATGGAACAAGATTTATAAATATTCTAGTATACATTTTCTAACATTTGGAGATGCTACACTTCATCCCGAATTCTTTCAAACCATCCTATCAAACAATTCCAGGGTGAGTGATGAAAAAATAAAGTAAAACTGACTTTAGCCTCAAGCTTTATAATGATTGCTTTGGCTGTCTTTCTTTCCTTTTCTTTTGAAATTTTACTTTTCAAATAAGGCTGTAAGAGGATTTTAACCTCCTCTTGGGGCTGTGAGAAAGAGTATCATTTTTCACCAAATCATTTACATTGAGGGGAAATATTGGTCAGGTAACTAGGAGCATTGTTTGCATTCCAGACAACAACTGAAATTAAAGGTGGCATTCTGGTTTCTTGCCTCACCTGTTACATCTCCTCCCTGAACAATTCCTATGTTCATGGACACTGAGGTTTCCAAGCTCTTAAGCCACAAATACTCCCACAGAGTCTCACCAAACAAACCGCAACAAATAAGAGACAGCTGATTTTCAGCCATTATGTGTATACACCGCAGATTGACAAACCTTCATGGATACATATATTGCCTACCTCGAATGTCATTAACACTACCACCCTGTAGCCAAGTGACATTGAGGTGGAGAATTATAGTCCACAGGCATCTGCCTGTGGTCAACAGAGCTGCCTAATTAACATCTTGACCTTCTTGGTCAGCTTTTCTGTTGCCCCGAGTGAGGTCGAAAATTGTGAGCTCCAGGGATGTGACCCACAGAAATATTTTATTTGTCAGGTGCAGTGTTTAAAAAAATACTTCCAATCGTTTGCCAGCATTATAAAATCAGAAGTTTCCACATCAATATTTGAGTTTCTAGCTTCTTAAAACTTGGAAGATTTGACAAGATAGAGATTTGGCTCATGTTCTGCAGGAAATTATTGGATTTGAGTGGCCACAGCACTGCTGTAGGGAGGGCACACTCCCTTCACTTCACCAGTGTCCCACCTCATGACCATGTAGCCTGATCTAGCAGATATTTGAATTATTGTCCTTTGTTGCTTTTGAGGCTTTAGATAGTTATACCTCCCTCCCTCCAAATATATTGCCATTTACTACCTCTATCTTGTTGAAGGGGATGATAAGGAAGACAATTCAGTTCAATTTATGAAACACTTATGGAGTGCCCGGTCTGCATTGATAACATGGAAAGTGCTGGAGGCAGAGGGAGTCACCATGAGTAAAAAGTATTCTTTACCCTAAAAGAGCATACAGATTAATGGTAGAAGAAAAACAAACAACATGGGTAAGAGACAATGGTAAAGCCAAAAAGTTTGGTTCATTTGGTATGAAAACATGGATGTCATCACTGCTAGTTCTTTTTGGCTTCGGTTTGTGAGCAAGATATATGTATCTATCAATAAATCTATCTTTGTACAGACACTTTTCAACTTATGATGGGGTTATAGCTCAATAAACCTATCATAAGTTGAAAGTATTTAAGTTGAAAATGCATTCGATATACCTAACATACCTAACATCATAGCTTAGCGTAGCCTACCTTAAACATGCTCAGAACACTTACATTCACCTACAGTTGGGCAAAATCATCTAACAAAAAGCCTATATTGTAATAAAGAAATGTCTTATATAATTTACGGAATACTATATTGAAAGTGAAAGATAGAATGGTTGTATGGGTATTCAAAGTACAGTTTCTACTGAATACATATCATTTTTGTACCATTGTAAAGGTAAAAAATCATAGGTTGAACCATTGTAAGTTGTGAACAGTTTATATATATGCATATATATTCATATATAAACACACACATATATATATGTTTGTGTGTGTGTATAACGAAGATGGATAAGTTTTGCAATACAGTAGGGGCAATGATAAGGTGAATATCATAGATATTGTTAAATAAGCAATAGGCCATTAGCTTGAGACTATCTCTATATTTTGAGTTTTGACACAATGAACTGCAACCTAACAGTAGGTAAACAAATTGAAATCTAATTTAGGAGTGAACAGCCCCAATAGCAGGCAAACAACTCATTGTATCATGCCCAAATAAGGCAGACACCTAGCTGTAGCCAATCAGATTACTTTCCTGCTTTGCTTCTATGTTTGGCCTGTTAAAGCTCACTGCTCACACTTCTGGGTGGAGCTCTCTGAACCTCTTCTGGTTCTGATGCTGCCCAATCCATGAAGAGTTTATTGCTCAAATAAACTCTCACTAAATTTAATTTGTCTAAAATATTTCTTTAAATAATATATAGTTAAATCACACTTTATTAGTATTTAAAATGAGCTTTGAAGTCTAGTGTCTTTACAGAGACTGATTAAATTATTCCAAAACCAGTATAAATTCTAAGTTTGACAATAGGTATTTATAGCATTCCAAGTTTATTTCTCCTTCTAGATTTCCTTGAATTTGTTTTCCAGCAACAACTCCATGTCCAACAAACTAAACTATCCACTCCATATTTTCAATTCTCTTCATTGCTGACAGTTCATCTTTACTCACATTGATGAATGACCTTACTGAGCCATCTGCTTAGAAAGTTATTAATCTCCTATTTATGTGAACCAACTGTTGTTCTGTTTAATTGTGGTCCTTTCTTGAAATTTAATTCAAAATTATAAACATGGATTCTAACCCCTTCTTTGGAAGGAGCAAGAATGGGCTGATGATGTGAACAGAGTGATCCAGATGACAAGTTCACTCATTTACTAAACCGATGCATCAGTATAGATGCTACTTAATGAAGATAGACTGTCATCCTGTTCTCTTTCCTTTTACTTTTCCTAATTGCAGTGATTTCATCAATAAAGTATTTTTAATGCATATATCATTTCTATTATTATTATTCTCCATTTATCACTTACATTAAATACTAGAAATTGTGAAATTGTAATTTTCTTCAATTAAAAATTATCTTTCATTTGGATATTTCTAATGGATGTACAATAAAAGAAGTTGCAGATAAATGTTGTGATGTTTTTAATACTTCAAAGCAAAACTCCTTTACCAATTGTATTTTAAAAATATATATACTATTAAAGACTATAGCACTGAGATATTACTAAATAAGTGCAATGAGCAGATAGAGGTGTGATTGTAAACTTATTCAACCATTCACTTCTACTCTTTCTCTCTGTAAAAAGACATTCTCCTTTGGGAAAAAAATGTGGTTGACATGAAATTTGAAAAAAGCAAAAAAAAGGAGAAGTCTCCTGAGAAAAGTCAGCCCTGGGATGCTATTTTTTTTTTCTCTGAGATCAAGATATTTCCAAGAAATAATAGAATATTTATGAATACAGAATTGTGAGAGGTGAGGAGAGGTACTATCACTTTGAGAGGATTTAAAATGAGGCCAAATTGAAATTTAAAATTCATATAAAGTGTAAGTGACAAAAAATGGCACCAACCTCAACTTCAGATCTTTACTTTTAAAGTCTTTCCTAAAGTCCAAACCCTTATCTTTCAAATGCCTTTATATCCCAAAGGAGTTAAACTGAGGAAAATATGTCAACTTTAAGAACATTGCACAGAAACAAAACCATTGGAGGCACAGGTGGCCTTGCGCTCTCTGCTATAGTAATTCCACTAAAAAGACTGTCCCCCTGCTCCCTAATATCTGTAAACTGAAGGGACAGATACAGTACAAACATTGTCAGCAAACACAGATATCTTTAAAGGAAATTATTTTGCATAATACAAAGTTTTGTCCTCCTTTTAGGTAGCCATGGCAGCCTGTCCTAAATTTATAAAATGAGAGTTCTTCAAGATCATCTACGATGGGAAATTCTGACATAAAATTACATTTTCTCATTATTTTATGTAGGAAAACTTGAAGTAAACATATACTGCGGAGATACCCCATAATATTCATCACAATAGAATTTGAAATTCTATGTATTCCATCTTCTGTTAATTTTGACATATTTTATTATACTGGCAACCAACATCGGTCTTTTCCCCTCTGACTTTTTCAGTTTGGAATTATGGAAAATGTGCTTAATTATATTCAATTTACCACTTCATTGTACATAGTCTCATATTGTTCTCTAATTGTGCTCCGAATCTTGTCTTCCACCAAGCTTGCATGCTACAGAGGAAGAAAATGTCATATACTTTGTATCTTTTATATTTGCTACACCGTTTGAAAATAGTGCCTATGCAAACAGTAAGGGCTCAATAAGCCCTTGTTAATCATGCCTCTTACAACTCTCTCTATACCACCAACCTTCTCACAGACCCAGCGAATAAAAGTAACAACAACCAGTACAGAAGTTTCCTGGCAATATTTCTAATTATTTGTTTCTACAAAACATTTTCTTTAATTTTCAGAGTCATAACACTGACAAAAGATTGAACTTAGTTGTTAAAAATATTGTTACAAAGCCACACAGAGCAGGGGTTAGTATTCTCATTTATATCATGAAAGGGTTTCTTTATGTGTTTGATTCAATCATGAGCTTAGTGTGACAAGTTTAGAGGAAGCCCGGGTTTTTCTTTTCCTCTGTTCATTTATTTGACAAATATTAATGGGTGTCTTTCCTGTACAAGACATTCTGCCAGGAGCTATTTGGGATGGAGCAATGAATCAGCAGAGATCTTGCCCTCAAGTCTTACGATGCTTTGTTGTAGGGAATAATGTCAAAGCCAGGTGGTAAGGCCACTGAGCCTAGAGCTTACAAATCTGTAACCAACAGATTTCCTACAGCATTACATGCAAAGAATAAAGTAACTGGGAGCGTGGATTTCATTGCTCCACTCAAATAGGTAAAATGCTAGAGAAGTACCTTTTAATTGAGGGAACGGATTTTGTATTGTCACTTTTCCATTTTCCATTTTATTAATTTTATTAAATATTAATATTTATTAAAAATACATTTTTTATTTTTTCTGGTGGAGATAATGAGGAAGAATTATCAAGCATAGAGAGAAAGATCTAATAAATTCATCTATTCTGATGAGGTGAGGAAGAAGACACAAAAAGAAGTAAAAGGAGAATAGAAAAGATGTGAGGGAGAGAGACAGAGACACTGGGAAAGAAATAATTTTTAAAACCCTGAAAATGCTTTAAGTCAACCCAAATATGTAGATAAAACATAAATTAGCAGATGTTTTTGACACCTATTAAAATAGCAAATAAGCTAAGGAAAGGGAGCAAATAAGGAAGGGAGCAGTTAGCAATTATATCACATTATTTTAGTATTCCTATTTAATTTAAATCAGTGGGTAAAATTTAAAATGTAGTGTGTATATGATTCACTTATGGATTTGGTTGAAATTTCGTGTTTGTAGGCCTTGTCCAGGAGTTTCTAACTCAGTGGGTATGTGTTAGAGGTTGACAATCACACAGTCATCCTCCGCTATGAGAGCTTCAAGAAACACTGCTTAATACTTTGCTCCTGTCTAGCCCTCCGGGAGAAAGCTATTAATATCTTCTTGATTCTCAAAGAAAACTGTGTCCTTTTATACTCTCAAAGCTATAATTGTGACATTGCTGTTCTCTGATGGCAGCAAAACCCAAATAGCTGAGACAGTCTTGAGAAGATGACAAAACCCCTTGAAGTTACAGTTTTGTGACATTTCATGTCCTGAGACCAACCTTGCTGAGAACTATCTTGGATTGACAGTTCTTTTCAGCTCAGGTAAAGGCAAATGACCATATTTATTTGGTCTAACGTGACTTCAATCTAGGGTGACTACACATCTGGGTTTTCCCGGGACAGTCTGGTTAGCCCTATTTCCCACTTTCTTGTCCCTTTAACTCTCAGTGTATCAGTTTGGGTAATAAATTATATGGTCACCCTATTTACATATAACAGAAGGCAAACTGAACTGCAAAAACTCTAATTTGTGGAGCAGCTCCATGAGGAATAGTAAATTCTGAGGCAGCTTAGTTAATCAAATGTTCTACTATTTTGTAACTTTAATCATTTTGAACTGACATATAGACAAAGAAAAAGAGTTAAATTAAGGAAGTAATTCCTTAATTTTAATTACATGGGCTCCTGATAGGTGAAGCAAGTAATTCTTGATTTATTTTTCCAAAGAGAACTGAAACTTGTTAACTAAATGTATATGATGAAAATAGAAATGCAGGAATTTAAGGAATACTATATTAGTATCAAAGCTGAATATCAACAAAACCATTTCAAATGACAGTAGAAATATGAGAATATATATACTTTGATGATTTTACTTTAAAAACAGACATGGCATGTTACCATACAGAATCATTTTCAGTAGCAGGGAACAGGGAAAATACTAGGATGCATGAAGTTATAAGATCTTGTGAATAAAAGCTGTATGGCTTTGGGCTACTCATTTTGTTTTTATGTTTTTTTCTCTTCTTCTGTATAATGGGGATAATATCTCCTAACAGCTTTGTTGTGCTAATTGAATTATGCAAGTGAAATAATGTAGCACATATTATAAATGCTCTATAAATTCTGGTTGCAAAGCATGAGGCTGTGTAATCTTCATGTGCTCTTATGACTGTGTTTTTTGTCATTAGGTGAGATCTTTTAATGAGATGTGATGGTATTTGGAGATTCTGTTTAGGTGGCCAGGTTTTAGATCAAATATCTTCAGCAGCAAACAATTATTGCAGATAAGGTCATGGTGGACATAGTGGGGATGCAAGGGGGTTTGTTCTCATGCTACTTGTGGAAAACGAAAGTTCTACATTCCAGAATGTGGGTGAGAAAGGTAAAGAAGAACATACAAGTATACTGTTTGACCTCAAATGCATACATTAGAAAAAGAAATCTGGATCAACAATTCCTGAGTTTCCAAAGTAGAAAGTTAAAAGTAGAACAAAGAACAAAAGAAAAAAGTAAAATAAAACCAAGTATTCACGTTCATAGTTGCTGGTCTTTTCCTTAGCTTTTTCGTTTCTTTCCCCTTCAAGTATTTTGTCTTTCCATCTCTTTTTTTGTCCCCCCATCCACAATTTGCATTTATTTCTGATGCACGACACTCATTTTACCTATGCCTTTGTTTCAATTCTCAAAGTCCTTCCAAACATGATTTATAACAGATTATAAAGGAAAGTTATTTTCAAAAGAACTAGCTGTTAAATAATCATCGTTTATACTTGTTCCAAATAAAAAACTGGATAAATGAACCCGAATAAAAAATTTTAAATACAAAATACAAATGGGACTTTCATGTAAAAAATGCTATAAGATGAGTTAGTCTTCACACTTACAAATAGGAATTTTTCTCTCAAATGCAGTTAGTAGGAAGCATGGACTGGACTGATAGAAGCTCTGTTTAAAATTACAAACCAATTGAGGCCATGTAAAACCTTAAGGCCACTATATTCCCTTCATTAATTTATTCATTAATCCATCCAACATACATTTAGATTTATTGAGTCCTAATCATGTGCTAGGGAAAAATGTAGGGAGCCCGAAAGGGTAGCTAATGGACAGATTTAGCCTTCAGATATGTCCTGTGATGCCTACACAATGATTATAATATCTAAAAATTGGGGAGATTAACATCAATATCCAAGTGTACACTTAAAAAAGAAAAGAAAAAGACTGACAGCTTGGAAATAAATGGTTGGACCTAAGTTACTGGACATTGGTTAGGCTCTCCAGTTTGCTATATAGCCCACAAATTCCCAGTGGATGATTGCTAATGACACCCTTCTCACTCATTTGCTTAAGAAGCCTGGCTCATGTAAATTCTACAACCCAGGAATCACTGGAATTTCTTCATTTTTCCTACATATTTGTTGTTTATACCCTAGTCCATTATTTGCATTTTCTACAGCCTGGATATGTTCAGCAGACTTCTTACTAGTCTCTTGGTTTCATGTCTTGCCCTGCTGGTACACATTTCCTAATCATATAAGGCACTCTTCAGACACAATGCACTTCCTACAGTAAAAATCTGACCATATCACAATGGCCTCCTCTTCCTGGGCTGGGCCTTTCATTTACTTCCACAAAACCCATCAGTGGCACTTTTGAACTATATGCTCTAACTATGGGAAATAAGCTTGATATGTGGCATTTCTAAGAGTATTAAGATAAAAACATTTGTCTCAGACAAGCTGATTAATTTGAAAAAAGGAGCTGACTTGCTAATCCAGTACTTCAGTAGCACAGAATTGTGTACGCAATAGGCAGAGTAGTTGTCAACGAACACAGGTATCAGAGCTTGAGTTCAAAAGATCAAAATCAATAGCATTAGAGGGCATTCTTTCCAAAGCATGGTAATGGTACAACTCCCATTGGCTTTAATGGAAGCCGTGAAGCTAACATACTTGTAACCTTTTTAAAGTGGAAGGATTAGCATTCAACTGGATCTACCTCATGTTGTGTCTATTGACACAGCCTTATGCATAGAGCTTGATCAGAGCAACTTAAATTTCTTCTCTTTCCTCTAGTGTAAATGAGTACAATATTATCCTTCCTATCTCTATGATAATTTTGTCCTTCAAACTGAAACTCAATGGAGACTTAAAAAATAGCACCTGCAGCAGAAGGTCAGTGCTTTCACTCTGTGATTCAGACACCAGTAGTAATGGCATTTGGGATCTTTTATCTAGATCATTTTGTCTGATAAGTCTTCTTGATCAATTCTTTTTTAAAAAATCGAGAAGGCCTATTAAGTGCAGAGTGCTGTTATGCATTAAAAGTTTTTCTGGTCAAAACTGAGAGAATACCTTTTACTCTTCTACCCTAAGGCAATTTTTAACCATAAAAATGTTTGTTTTCCAAAAAAACTATAACTGACTTTTATCTATAGGAGGTTTACATGACATTTTTCTGTGACAAATAAAACAGAATCCATCAAAGTATTCTGCAATTGTAAAATTCCAAATATCAAATATATGTTAGAGAAATTTAACCCTTTGGATTCTCTTTGCTGCTACCCATGGATTCCTCCAATACTGAAATACTTTCAAAGCAAATTATCTTCTTTTAAAGAACTAAGCATAAAGAAGCGAATATAAGAAATAAATTATAAACATGAATCCCTGAAAACAGATATTTTTAGTAGGGTTCTGGGCCAGCTCACTGTCACATAAAATGTTTCATACGATATAAATCATAATTCAAAAATACATTTTATTTGTAAAAATAAAATTTAGGTTCAATCAGATTGACCGCTTCTATATTATAAGAGCATATAAATATGCTGTTGGTTTCACATGTTTTTATGGCTTGCCTTGAAAAATAGTTGTTTCCACTTGAAAAAGCTACTTACAAGGATGGCATTTAGAACTTAGCCAATGTTAACCTCAAAATGTTCAATATATCTGTGGGTGTCCATAAGCAGTCATTTATTATGTTTTCCCATAAACAACACCCGGAACTGTAGTGATGGTGTGCAGTCATATTGCAGCTGCTTGGTTCACTGAAGTGATTATTAACATTCTCTTTTACTCACTGTAGCATGGTTCCCTCTCAGTGGCCCAGACTTTCTGCTTTCACACCTCTTTCCCAAGATAATGAAATCCATTTGGGAGCTCTGGAAACCTTAACTGGCATAGATTTGAGAAGCCATGCTGCCAGACCCTTGACAGGCTATTTGATGCTCTGCACCACTTTTGATTTAGACAGAGCCTCTGACACAAACAGAGCAGGCCTCATATATTCCATTGCCTTTTGTTCCATTTCATCATACCCCAGGGATGTCATTTATCATCACCCTTGGTCATGCACGGCTAAAAGAACAAGAGAGGTAGATGTGCTCTGCTATTCACAGCTGGGCTTCCTTTGGGCTGCAAAAGAAAGTTACTTAATGCATTGTGGATCATTTCTTAGCCATTCAATGATATTCACAGAAGAGCAAAGAGCACCTTTTATAAAAACGACATTTCAACTACTCTAACTTTTCTTATTTCTAGCCTTCACCCAAGAAGTATCCACCATCTTAAGAGATGCTCAGTTTTGAAGGGTACTCAGGGTACAAGGATCACGGCTATATCTTTGCCCTCACACGCAGATTAAAAGTACCTTCTATTTGGAGCTTCAGCACGGTGTGCTCTTTTTCAGCAGGTGATTTCTGTGGAATCTCATAGTGAGGCTTAGGGAATAGACTAAATGCAACTAAGATGTCTTGCTCCAATTAAACATTTTGCCAAAATCCACAATCACTTTAGCTGTAAACAGATTTTTTTTTAAACAGAGGATCTCCATATTTCAAAATCAGTTATTATCTTTCATACATCAACCTATTTTACCTGATTTAATCTTGGTTTATCTTATTGCTTTTTTTTTGAGTTTTTATTTTTCAGTATTATCTACATTGAAATAAAAAAAGAGTAAGATGAAACTTCCAGGACTTTAAGGGTTTGATGAGGCACCAAAGACAGGAAGTAATCATTAGGTTTTCCAAGAAGAGATCGCAGTTTGGCAAGAGGCTGTTTTCACTCCCTGTGATGATATTTTCGGTTTTTGAAAAAACTACAGTGGGAAATCAGGTTGTATGGCAAAAAAAAAAAAAAATAGATTTGTGTACCTCATTACCTTTACTGGTCTATGAATTGGAATATTAGTACCCTTAAAGTGATGAAATATTTGACTCAGTTTCTTTCTGAACAAAAGATGAGGTAGGGGCTCTAAGATAGAAACTTGAGAAGGCATTGCATTTAGGAACACATGGGCATATATCCATAAAAGGAGGCCAAGTACAAATACACAGAATATCTATGAAAAGATAATTAGGAGGCTATGTTCCAACCATGGCTTTGTTAATAATCAACTTGTGAAGTTGGTCATGTGGTTTAGGTTCTTAAGTGCTATGGGCTTTAGTGTTCTATGTGAAATAGTATAATTTTTTTTTTTTTTTCAAAATCTTCACTGTACTTCTCTATTGGGCTCACCTATCCAGGGCCCTCCTCGGTGGCTTTCCCCATGAAAGGGGTGTACTTCCAAGCTTACTGAAGTTAGCTGTGGCTTTGGGCAATAGCATGCAAGTGGAAGTGATATGTGCTGTATCCAGCAGAAACTTTAAGACCCATTGCATGGTTCTACCATTAACTCCCTTTTCCTCTGCATCAAGAACCATATATCACAGTATGAGGGTATTAACTATGAAGTGAAAAGATGCCAACAAAGCCCATTGGTCTCATGAGTTTTAAACTTACTGGTACTTTGGACATTTATTAATTCATGAAGTGATATAGAGCTGACACTTTTATGGATCATGATAAAACCAAACAAGTTTTATGCTCTTGATCCCTTATGAGAGAGAAAGATGATAATTACAATTTTAAACAGTTATTTGGGGGATATAACTAAAAAACATAGAGGCATTCTAATCAGCAAGATTCACAACTAGTTTTTCCTAGAAATGTAATAATTAAAATGGTTCCAACTGTAGTTTCTCAGAAGTATTTTTAGAGGAAGAAATTATCCATCTAGGAAATTTTTCTTGAAATGAACTTATGCTTGAATTTTCTCAGGAAAAGGTTAGACAGCTTCAAAGTTAGATGTTTTAAGAAGGGAAGACTAATGACTGTTTGACAGGTTTAAAAAGTTGTACTTGACAGCACAGTGATAGCTGTTTGATAGTAAGACTTAGATGTTCTGCTTTATTGAATGTCAGGCAGCAGAACTGAAAGATCATCCAAATAACTTCACTTCTTTAAAACCAGTAACTTTTCATTTAAAAGTACAAGAATGGTTTTAATCAAATGAAGATCTCTAATATCACTTACAGCTCTAAAACTCCATGGTTTTTACAAGCTGAAACCATTTGTTCAGGGTTAGAGGAAGCCAGAAGTTGAATTCTATAATTTTCCTCTGAACTAGAAATGTGGGTATCAGGTCCCTTGGAATTCTGTGAGTGGCTTAGAGGTAGAGAGTTAAAGAATCCTATAACTTTCTTTTCAAATGTCAACACACTAACATGTTTTACTGGTTGCTATTCCCAAGGCATTTTCCATTGCAGCAAATGAAATGGTATTTTTCATATATAGTGTGTCAAAAGAATGAAATCAATTATGTCTCTCCAATTTCCTAACTGAAATTATTACTTATTCTGGTATAGGGGAAGGTAGTAGGTTTGCCAGATAAGATAGAGGATGCCTACTGAAATTTGGATTTCAGATAAATAATATTATTTATTAATACTTTATATTAGTATATTAATATTAATATTTTAGTATAAGTGTGTCCCAAATATTGCATGGCTCCCTTAACATTTTGGCCTGATTAAATGCGTTTTTAGTCATTGACAGCTATATAAAGTTTCAACCTAATTATAAAGAGAAATCCTGTTTATTTTTAAATGTCTCATATTGGGATGGTGCAATGATTAATTTTATGTGTCAACTTGACTGGCCATGAAGTGCCCAGATATTTGGTTAGGCATGATTTGTAGGTGTGTCTGTGAGAGTGTCTCTGGATGAGATTAACATTTGAGTCAGAAGACTGAATAAAGTAGATTGCCCTCTCCAATGTGAGTGGACCTCATCCAATCCACTGAATGCCTGATTAGAACCAAAAGGCTGAGAAAGGGAGAATTCACTTTCTCTTCATGACTATCTTGAAGTTGGGACATCGGTCTTCTCCTGCCTTTGGACTTAAACTCAGGCTGGAATTTATACCATCAGCTCTCCTGCTTCTCAGGCCTTTGGACATTTGTACTGGAACTGGAACTCTACCATTGGCTCTCTGGGTCTTGACTTGTCAGCCTCTATAACCACGAGGCAATTCCTTATAATAAATCTCTTATATAGAGATATACATACATATATACCTCTGTGTATATACATGTATATATAGATTTATATTTATTTGTATATACATTACACACACTTACACACACACACACACACACACACACACACACACACACCCTATGGTTTATTTGTTCTGTTTCTCTGGAGAATCCTGAATAATACAGATGGATAAAACAAGAGAAATCTCCACTGTTGATATAATTGATGATCACAAAGCTTCTGTGCCCTCTATTGATCTGTTCTGCTAATTTCACTTATTATGTATCGACTAGTTGTGGGTGGATGGAGATCTCAAGCTATTCTGCTGCTGGGGTAATTCATGCAACCTTCCTAAGCACAGGCGGTCCCTTCTGACCCTCAGCCACATCTAGAGTTGGCGGCCCTGTGGGGCTCTCACACAGTATTCCTCTCATGTGTGAGCCTTTCTTTTCCACTGCAATTCTGCAACTCTGGATCTTATCCACACTCTGGGACCTGATTCAGGGCCCACATGGCAGTACTCACCTCACATCCACCTCCAGCACTGGGAGCCCCAGGGGTAATCCCTGATGCCCCCTAAGTACCTTCCCAGTGTTCCCCACCCCAACATTCAGACAGTACCTCGGCAGACCCTGCAGGTCCTGCTAAGTAAATATCAACATGAAGACCAAGGCATCAGTGTTTCCTTCTTATAGACAACCTGAACATTCTTAATAATTCTGTTGGGGTTCCAATTTACTTTTTTTTCTCTTCAAGGAGAACATCCAGTCCAGCCTCCAGGAGGTAATGTGAGAGGAGAGTCGCTCTTCGGCAATGTGGCACTCTACTAAATGGAGAACTCTGCAGACTCCCATCCCCTACCCGTGCTCCCCAAGCCCCAGCTGCCAAATCAGTTTGGCCTTACTAGTTGCTGCAAACCCTGGCAACTGCAGGTTAAGAAATAGACCTTATGTGTAATTAGCTCTGCAGAACTCAGTAACATCTTCATTCTTAAAGTATGCTGTCTCTGCTGTAATCGCTGCACTACTTAATATTTGTAGGGGTGGAGAATATCTCAATAAGTAATTCACAATGTTCTATTACCAAAAAGAGGGTCAGTTTTATTAGAAGCTGAGTTCCCTATGGTTTTTAATTTCCCATCCCTTTGCCCAAGGTATATATGTTAAAGTGAATTTTACATTGTCTTGGCAAAAAATAATTTCAACAAGTTCCCTGAGGATATCTAGAGACAAGCTGGGCTTCCACCAAATCAGGTTTGGTAATCACTTGCTCATAAAGCGGTTGTTCTTTCAAATCCAGATCTTCAAGTAAGATTAAAATTGGAAGCCTGGCTACCAAGTAAAAGCTTTCCTGCAGTTGTCAGAATGTCAGGTGCATCAGAAGTCAGGTTCTGCAATGTTAGCCCAAGGACCGAGCAGGCAGGGTCTGTGAAAATGGCCAGATAAGGGGTCTGGAGTCCCACTTTGAAGCAGTGTTGAAGAAGAGTTCAGATCTGTGAGTCTGGGATCAGTCAAAGGGAGTGCTGAAGGTGAAATGGAGAAGTGCAGAGATCAGCATCTAGGCAAGACATCTGAGCAACGATCATGGGACGTTTGCAGTGAGAAGATTCTTACGGAGTAACAACCAGCCTTGTGAAAACAAGCCACCAGGAATTCATGATTTCTAATCTCAGGTAGGGCCTTGGGGTGGTCCCCACACCTTCTTACATAGACCTAGACAGCTCTTTTATTCTGCTTTTATTTCAAACTTTTAGATTTCCCTTTAAACTTCCAACACAACCTCTTTTCCTCTGTCTCTCAGTAAATGACTCTGACTCCCACTTCACTGAGCCCTTCAGGGAGAAATTACCTCAATTTTGTCCCTTAGAAACACTTTCCTATCACTGCCTGTGCCTATCTTTCCACCTTCCCTCCTGTGACAGGAAGGATGCATTCTTCCTGTCTAATGTAACCCATTTCCTCTGATCCCAGCATGCCCCACTTTTGAGATACCTTGCTAAGTCAGTTATTTCCCTCCTCTCCTCCATGCCTGGATCCCCTCACTGTCCTCTCTCTTGCTCCTCCATATATAAGTATACTCCAGTACATCCACCTAATGATAATTAATAAGAAGGTTACATTTCACTCTCGGTACATTCATCTCTGTCTCATTCCTCTCCCAACCAAACTTTGGAAAAAGAGGTCTCATTCTCTCATTTCTTCATTTCTGCAGATGTCACACCTGTAAGTCAGGAATCAACTCTTACTACTTTATGGAAATATCCCTAGACACATTAACCAACATCCTCTTTATGACTTAATCCATATTTCAGTGCTTATTCTAATTGAACTTCACTTATTATATTGAATGAACTTTTGGCAACATTTTACAGTGCTGACATTCCCTCCTTTTTTCAACTCTTTTAATGTCTGTGGATGTCCCCTGAATTTCTGTCTACCAAGTTTCATCATTCCTAGGCTCCCCTCTCTGTCTCTGCCTCTTTCCTAAAACAGACTTGCTCAGGGATTTGTTTTTTGATTCGATCATCATTGCACTCTATTTACAGAAGTTACATTTGAATAAATTTAATGACTTAAAATTCATGACTTTCACTGTACTTAAGACCCTTCAGTTCATAGCTGCAAGCTAAAGTATTGTGTTGAGTGCTGAGTTCTGTATCTCTAAATGGATGTCCTACAGTGGACCCACTCCTAACTCAACTTTAAAACTAAACTAATGATCGTTAGTCACCTCTCCTCTCCTCCTTCACATTGTACTTAAACTCATTTCTACAGTCAGTGCCTCTGCAAATAAAAGAGTTCATATCAGCAATGGTTTACGGGACTTTAAACGTATTAAGTCATTTAATCTTTAAGATAACCTCATACATTAGGAATTCTAATTATGACAATATAGAATAGTATCCAAATTTACCTAGTTGCCAAAACAGAAGCCTGGAGGCCTCTTCAGGCTCCCCTCCCACTATTACCCTAAACATTCCCCAAGTCCCAGTTAATCTACTTCCATAATATGTTTTAAATCCTTCCTTTACCTAATCTGGTTGGATATAGCCTTATGTCATGTCTAGCAAAAGCTTTCAAAATGCAGCTACAGTGATCGGAAATTCAAATCTGATTATTCTCTCTGGTACTCAAAATCCTTGAGTAGGTTCCTGTAGCTTTTAGGATAAAGTTCAAATTTCTTTGCTTAAGAAGTCCATTCATGAACTGATCTCTTCCTATTTCTCAGCCAATTTTCTCACTTTGGAAGGAAGTATCGCTTCCTCTTTCAGCATCCCTAAAGGTCCACACACTGTAAACCTCAGCCCTATGGAGGGGAGGAGAAGGAAGACTGTGCCTTCTGCTTCCACTGCCCACTTTCTCCTTTCAAACTAATTGGTGAACTTAGGGAAAAGACCAGAATATGCTAAGAATTAGGATATATGCATAGCGGTCCAGCCAGATGACATAATTGTTTTAAAAAAAGTTTTTAGGTAAGGTGAAAGAAGAGTAATGCAGAATAAGAAGAATGCTGAAAACTCTCCAATTCTTTATTCATATTTTGTCTTTTGATCATGAGGTGCACACGCACACAAACACACACACACACACACACAAAACTCTCATCTCCTTTGAATGGCTGAACAGAAAGCATTCCCATTAGAGTAAATCTAAATTTCAATTAAGACAAGAAATTGAGGTAGAAAAATTGTCAGGGGAAATATTAAAGGTTTACAAGTGTTTGTTTACAATTGAAACCGAAGTTTCAAAGAGCAAAGGGAATAGGATGGGGGCAATGGGCAACAGTGGGAGAATGTTAGTAGGGGGAAGATTACAATGATTTGTTGACAGAATATTAAGAAAGTAGAGAGGTTTGGAGAGACTTGCATTTTGAACTGCAATGGAAAAACAGCTAGCGTGAAGTTCAAAGCAATCATGATACTTAGCATTTTTGAGTTCATATTCCATGCCCAGCACTTGTGCAAGGACTCTACACGGAATACTATGCTCCTATTTTATAGGCAAGAAAACCAAAGCAGAGGATCATGCCTAATTTACATAGCTACACAACAGCAGCTCCAAGTGTCAACTTAACCACTACATGATAAGAGGACTGTATTGTGAAGCGGCTTGTTGTTAGCATGGTTTGGGTCCAAATGTTGATGAATAAATACTTTCACTGCCTCTACAGTTATTCACTTTGGATGAATACAGAAGGTGAATTAGATCTATTTAAAATTATCTAAAGGAGAGATTTCTAAAGCTTTATAGCCCAGGCATACTTTAGCTTTCCCATTCTATGCCCTTTCAACAGTGAAGTGTTAGGAATCAAAATAATTATGCAAAAGATTAAGCAAAATGACTCTACTATAGTTTAAATAGTGGCCTGTAAATTTCCAGGGTTAAGGGGTTCCTCAATTCTTTCATTTCCTGATGACACAAGCCGTGTATTAATGTAAACCCCCTCTGAAATATCTTCTCGCTTGTAATAGATACCAGTGAAGAAAATATTATGTGCATGAATACATGATCATATAAAAACAATTATCTAAAATTCTGAAAACTAGCTAATAACCTCAAGTATTTTTTGTTGTTGTTTCTTTTGTTTTGTCCTCAAAGCTAATGAATATAACCTCTATCAAACTCCAAGTTTAGCTCAAACTCTAAAGTCAAGGACATCCTCATTAGAATGGCCCTTCATCATCAACATAGTTGAGTAAGTATAAAATCTTGAGTCTCTTAGGTCTATTCTCTGCAGAAAAAAAGTTGGTATAGAAAGTGTATGAATTTTTAATTCATCAATACCTAACATTAACTTTACTCTTTATTAACTATGTGACCTTAGGCAGGTTACTAAAACTCTAAGCTATAATTTCTTAAGTGGTTAGGACTACCTGAGACCACATCCTGCTCAATTCTTTCCTCTTCTCTCTACTGCTCCACTCCCTCTAAGGACAAGATTTTCTTCCTGTTCATGTCTCTGTCCTGACTGTAAGCTCCAAGAGGACACTATAACCACGTTTCCTTTTTTTAAATCTCAAAGCTTGGCAGAGTATATTATTCACAGAATATGTGAAAGAACTGTGGAATATACAATGATGGGGAGAAGGGAAAGAAGAAAATATGTATTACCTTACTGGTTCTCTCTATTATTTGTACTGATATCTTTGACAACAGCATCAAAAACTATATGAACAATAGAACCCTTTCAAATTGCTTTGATACCAGAAGAGAGGTACAAAAAAATTATTTTTTTGCAGTGGACAGTGGCAAGTATTGAAATGGAAAGCAAGCAGATAAATCAATGGCATTGGAAGCAAAGGGAGGGAGGGAGTAGAAATGGCTCTAGGCTTTGAAATATCCCCAAAAGAACATACTGGTTTGAAGGCTTGGCTCTCACAGTTTCTCAATCCATATTTTCTGCATCCTCTCCCCATACAATTTCACATTTTCCATAGAATTTTCTTCTCCACTCCTCACACTTATTCCGATCAGTTCATTTCCTGTCTATCACATGTACATTTCTGTCCACTTTCTCCCAAGAATTTCTTGTCTCGGGCCAGAAGAGTCTTGAGTGGCAAATAGTTGACTTTTAAACAGACTTTTGGCTAAATCATGTGATGGTACATTCCAATTCGTGGCACCACAAATGCTCAAAACAATGAAGTGTTTGTCACTTCTTGACTTCTCTAGAATTTCCTAATTTCTCACAAGGGAAGTTGGCATATGTGTTCATGATCTTCAGGCTCAGACTTACCAGGTCCCTCACAAAAAGCAAATCGGGCTCCTAAACCCCACCTGTTGGTGATGGCTGCAGTTGATCTTTGTTCCTGATATACATGGTGTCTCTCTCATAGAAGGGAGAAATCCAAACATCATGTACCCCTTGAGTGATTGTATTCTCTACTTATTTCCCGTTGATCCACTTTGAAATCTGGGCCTTCCCAGAGTTTCCCTTCAGCCACTCCAATTATCAGCTGGAACTCCAGCCTGCTCCTCTGGAGCTTTAAGACATGGGCCAGTTGCCATATACTTCCTTTGGGCTTACAGAAGGTCCCGTTTTTCTTCAAACCCCTGCGAAGCCTGTAACTGAGTTCCTGTTATGAAGAACTCTTGCCAGTGTTCTCTTCATGACTGACAGTCACCTAAGACTTGGATTTCTTCTCTGACTTATTTCTCACTCTCTCCTACTCACCTGGAAATGCCACCATGATGCTTGCCACAGATGTGGGTGACTGTGCCTGGGGCCTCAAGGCCACTGGCCCTTACAGCAAAGCAAAGGGCAGTATCCATCGGCTCTCATGTTCCCGTTTCAACGCCACATCCCCTTGTCTTTGAGATCTCAGTATGTTTCCTGATAAAGTCAGCTCTGAAATGAGGGTGTGGTAGTATCTGCATTTTGTATATTTCTTTCAAGCTATGAGAATGCAAGATTGTGGAATTTTAGTAAGTAGTCTATATAGGATGCATTTCAAGATTCTTAATGCACTTGACACATCATTCATCCAAAGTACAAGTTCCTGGCAATTCCGGTTCATTACAACACAGACCTGACACTAGATGTGAGGCACCACCTCTGAGCACAGTAGCAGTTGTTGCAAAACCTCAGCACTAAAGTACGGCCTTAGGGCCTAAGGGAAGAATCTTACTGCCATTATTCAGCATTATTTAACATAATTAGTGACTAGCTTGCTCTTTGGGTTTCCACAACTCACAGCCAGCAGCTCAGGGCAGCAGCACAATAGAAAGGAATGGACAGGAGTTGACACTGGAAGTGATGTGGGTGAAAAGTGATAACAGAGTCTGCCAGCAATGAGGAGAGGACCCAACAGCAAAAGAATTTTGCTGCATATTGAGGGAACATTTTAATAATTAATAAGAACAGAAAACCAAACACTGCATGTTCTCACTCATAAGTGGGAGGTGAATAATGAGAACACATGGACACAGGAAGGGGAACATCATATGCCAGGGCTTGTTGGGGGGTGGGGGGCAAAAGGAGGGAGAGCATTAAGATAATACCTAATGCATGCAGGGCTTAAAACCTAGATGACGAGTTGATAGGTGCAGCAAACCACCATGGCACATGTATACCTATGTAACAGACCTGCACATTCTGCACATGTATCCCAGAACTTAAAGTAAAATAAAAAAACAAAATTAATATCAACACAGTTTCTACATTTGAATATGTAATTTCTTCTCGCCCACATTTTAATGTTTTGCAATTGAGATGTATGTATCTTGTCAATTAGTATATTTAATATTGCTTTATTTTTTTCCCTGGAAGTCTTATTTTTGTAGCAGTGGTGTTCCCTAATAGGAAGAAGTCTTACAATTGAGGTAACATGGTTTTAATAGTGACCCCACGTTATCAAGAAAAGTTTATATTGTGTTCAAAGTGTTTTATTAGGAAGGTCATATAATATTTAACGAATATTAGAGTACTTCCCATTGAGGGTAGAACGGTAAATAAGTACAGTGAAGAATATTAAAATTATACTTCAGTTATCTGGAAAATTCACTTATTGAATTCTCATACAATAGCAGAAAAATGAGGCTTGATGATGAATAAAACCTAGTGCTTCAGTGTACTCCTTTAACAAGTAAAAAGAAAACACTCTGCCAAACGGCCTATATTCTGTTAAAGCATACATATTTTTTGCACAATTTCTGTTTCTTTCATATTGATTTATAAAATGTTAGCGTACTATATGTAACTATATAAGTATATACTTTTCTGGTTCATAAGCTAATCTTTTGCCTTTTGCTTTTAAATGATTATGTACTAGATTATGTACTTCCTTATAAAAATGAATAAAGAATAGCATCATTATAAAAAATACATTAAAAGTATATTATTTGCCATAACGGGAAAATACCCAAAATAGGTCACTAAAATAGATTCCTCCAATGGTGAACAATACATTTTTATTATAAGATAAGATAGAAAATATTTTCCAGAGGTTGCACAAACAGACTAAACCACAGAAATAACATTATTTCAGATAAATGATCAATCTCTCTATGGTCCCTGAGGCTTATTTTAAAGGAACTTTCAGTTGGGGGTACACCAGAAAGTCTGTGATGCATGTAATAGAATCAAGAGCTCCATTACAATCCCCAATTGGTAGCACCTCTGAGTATCTCTGGGCTTACTTTCTGAGAAGAATATATAGACCCAAATTCCCAAATAATTTACCATAGCTCACCAAATTATTAATATATATAATTGAAAGCGAATTTCATTTATTGAACTGACCTCTCCTACAGGTTCATTTTAGAACCTAATATACCATTTAAAATGGTAGCAAGAATTCAAAAATAGTGAATCCAAAGAAAACATAAATAGGTTAGGTGAATAAGTGTATGATCATTACCGAAAAACATGTTAACGCAGGCCTCAAATTTTAAAATTATTACAGTCAATTTTTTCAGGTTCTAGTTGTGCATGGATATTTTTTAAATAAAAATTGCATTAAATTATGAGAATTTTAGTAAAGAAAAATTCTTGAGAGCAGAGAGATGATGGATGAATAAACTAAATTACAAAAAATTCATACTTAAAGTGATGTGTACACATCGTCATATCAATCAGAAGTAATATTTAACTGATTATATCTCCACGATGCTATGTTAGGCACTATGCATCAATAATTAAACAGACATGATCCCTGGCTGCTATAAAATCTGTACCTATAAAAAGTCACGGAGACTTAAATGACACAGAGTCAAGTGAATATTGCAGCGGAACCTATATCATCTATTTAGAACATGTATAAGCAGTGGAACATGCTCATTTGATGATTTCTTGCAGAAAAATGAGTTTTCTAGAGATGGTGATTTAGGAGGATTGGGCACTTGCTGGAAAATAAATTTAAAAAAAATCCTGTAGTTACACTTTGTTAGCTTCCAATATGCTTAAATTTTTCATGAAAGAAATGTTGATTGGCAATATGAGCAGACACATTTTCTTTCCCATTTCTGTTTTCTACAAGGAGAGATTTATTGAAAACCCACCACTACTCCTCTGACGGAAGTGGAGTGAATTGCCTGATTGGAGGGTTTGGGAGAGGACCAGAATACCTGTAGCTCAGCTTCTTCCATCACCCGTCTCTTGTGGTCTACCTGCAGAGAGCATTGTTCAGACTGGTCTCACCATGCAGTAAGCTTAGATATGGAAACCTGGCCCTGGGCCTGGGGCCAGCTCTTGTTGGGCACAGTCTCTAACTTCAATAACTTCTCCACAAAGGGACACTACATTATCTGGTATCAGTTTCAGCTGTAAAAAAAAGAGGAGTTTGGGCTGGGTGCAGTGGCTTACATCTGTAATCCCTGCTCTTTGGGAGGCCAAACCAGGCGGATCACGAGGTCAGGAGTTCGAGACCAGCCTGACTAACATGGTGAAACCCCATCTCTACTAAAAATACAAAAATTAGCCGGGCGTGGTGGCATGCGCCTGTAATTCCAGCTACTCAGGAGGAGAATCGCTTGAACCCAGGAGGCGGAGGTTGCATTGAGCCGAGATAGCACCCTGCACTCCAGCCTGGGAGACACAGCGAGACTCCATCTCAAAAAAAAAGAGGAGTTTGGATCCTACCTCTACTTTACCCCTCCTTTTTTAACAAAAAAAGTTTTGGTTCTTTTTAACATCTTTAGTAAGGCATAATTTACATCTACCAAAGTTTACCTTTTTTAGTGTTTTGGCAAGTGCATGTGGTACTCAAGTTAATAGAAGAGTTCCATTATTCTCCCAAATTCCCCATTCCCCTTGTTGAACTCCTCCTCTCACCCCAGTCCCTGGAAACTAGGGATCTGTTTCCTACCTTGAAGTTTTGCCTTTTCCAAAATGTAATATAAGAGGAGTTGTATAAATGGGACCATTCTCCTTTTAGTGTGGCTTCTCTCACTCAGCATAATACACTTGAGAGACATCCATGTTGCTGCATATATCAGTTTGTCCCTTTTTATTTCTGAGTAATGTTCCATTGTATAGAGGTATCACGATTTATCCACTCACCAGTTAAAGGAAATTTGAGTTTCAGTTTTGATGACCACAAATAAAGCTGCTATAAATATTTACACACAGACTTTTGTGTGGCCATAGTCTTTTATTTCACTTAGGAAAATATCTAGGAGTGGAATTGCTGGGTCATATGGTAGCTATGTACTGAACTTTTTTTTAAGAAACTCTCAAACTGTTTTTTTTTTTTCTTTCCAACTTTTATTTTAGGTTCAGAAGGCCCCTGTGCAGATTTGTTACATGGGAAAATCGGGTGTCTCTGAGGGTTTGGTGTGCGGATTATTTTGTCACCCAGGTAATAAGCCTAGTACCCGATAGGCAGTTGTTTGATCCTCACCCTCCTTCCAGCCTACGCCCTCAAGTAGGCCCCAGTGTCTATTGTTCTTTTGTGTCTGTGTGTACTCTATGTTGAGCTCTCAGTTATAAGTAAGAGCAGGCAGCACTTGGTTTTCTGTTCCTACAACAAACATGTTTCAAAGTGGCTGTACCAATATGCATTCTGATGTATGAGAGTTCCATTTGCTTTGCATACTTACCAGTACCTGTCACTGTTGTCTTTTCTTCTTTATTTTAAACATTTTAGCTATATATGTGGTACTATTTATATGACATTCTGGAAAGGCAAAACTACAAGGCAAAAACACAGATCCATAGTTTCCAGGGGCTATGATGGAAGAAGGAATTTGACAAAGAGATACAGGGGAATTTTGGGGCAGGCGATGGAAATCTTCTATCTATTGACTTGAAGACAATAGATAGAAGTGAATAGAAACATTAAGCTAAAATAAATCATAGACTTAAATGTAAAACCTAAAGCTATAGAACCGATGGAAGAATACATAGGAGAAAAGCTTCATGCCTCTTCTTTAGGCAAAGATCTTTTAAATAATTAGACAATGAAAGCACAACCCACTTTTAAAAAGTGATAAATTGAATTTTGTCCAAACTTAAACCTCTGCTTGTCAAAACTCACATAGTTGTTCACTAAAAAGGGTAAATTTTGCTGTATGTAAATTATACTTTAGTAATACATTTAAAAGAACAAAAAATTTAATAAGTGTGTAATAATAACTTATGCTTTTTATATTTCCCTAATGATTAATAATTTTGGACATCTTTTATATGCTAATTTGTCACAGGTGTCTCTTCCTTGAAAAAATGTCTGATCAGATGTTTTGCTCATTTATTTTTATTATTTAAAAACATTTTCAATCTTCGTGAGTACATGTTTGATGCATATATTTACAGAGTACATGAGATATTTTGATGTAGGCAGACAATGCATAATAATCACATCAGAGTAAATCCATCACCTCAATGTTGACATAATCCAATTATACTCTTTTAGTTATTTTTAAATGTACCATAAATTATTGTTGACTGTAGTAACCTGTTGTGCTGTCAAACACTAGATCTTATTCATTCTATCTCACCGTATTTTTGTACCTATTAACCACCTCCACTAACCCTCTCCCCCCAGCTACCTTTCCCAGCCTCTGGTAACCATTGTTCTACTCTCTATCCCCATGAGTGCAATTGTTTCAATTTTTAGCATTGGCAAATAAGTGACAACATGTGAAGTGTGCCTTTCTGTGCCTGCATATTTTACTTATTATAATGACCTCCAGTTTTATCCATGTTTTTGCCAACGATAGGATCTTATTCTTTTTTGTGGCTGAACAGTACTCCATCGTGTATAAATACCACTTTTCTTTACCCATTTGTCTGCTGATGGACACTTAGGTTGCTTCAAAATATTGGTTATTGCAAATAGTGCTGTAATAAACATGGGAGTGCAGATATCTTTTCAGTATGCTGATTCCCTTTAGGGGAGGGGGTATATACATAGCAGTGGGATTGCTAGATCATATGGTAGCTCTGTTTTTAGTTTTTTGAGGAACTTCCAAACTGTTCTCCATAGTGATGGTATGAATTTATATTCCCAACAATAGAGTATGAGGGTTCACCTTTCTCCACATAATCACCAGCATTTGTTATTTCCTGTGTTTTGGATAAAATCCATTTTAAGTAGGAGATGATATCCCATTGTAGTTTTTATTTGCATTTCTCTGATGATCAGTGATGTTCAACACCTTTTCATATGCCTGTTTACCATTTGTATGTCTTTTTTTTTTTTTTTTTTCTGAGATGGAGTTTCGCTCTTGTTGCCCAGGCTGGAGTGCAATGACACGATCTCGGCTCACTGCAACCTCCACCTCTCCGGTTCAAGCGATTCTCCTGCCTCAACCTCCAGAGAATCTGGGTTTATAGGCACCCACAACCATACCTGGCTAATTTTTTGTATTTTCAGTAGAGATGGGGTTCCACAATGTTGGCCAGGCTGATCTCGAACTCCTGACCTCAGGTGATCCATGTGCCTCAGCCTCCCAAAGTGTTGGGATTAGAAATGTAAGCCACCATGCCTGGCCTTATATGTCTTCTTTTGAGAAATGTCTATTCAGATCTTTTGCCCATTTCTTAATCAAATTATTAGATATTTTCCTATTTAATTTTTTTAGTTTCTTATATATTCTGATTACCAATTCCTTCTCAGATGGGTAGTTTGCAAATGTTTTCTCTTGTTCTGTGGGTTGTCTCTTCCCATTGTTGATGGTTTCCTTTGCAGTGCAGAAGATTTTTTACTTGATGTGATCCCATTTGTCCATTTTTGCTTGGGTTGCCTGTGCTTCTGCAGTATTACTCAAGAAATCTTTGCCTAGGCCAATGTCCTAGAGAGTTTCCTCAATGTTTTATTTTAGTAGTTTCATAGTTTGATATCTCAGATTTAAGACTGTAATCCATTTTGGTTTGATTTTTTTATGTGGTGAGAGATAGGGGTCTAGTTTCATTCTTCTGCATATGAATATCCAGTTTTCCCAGCATCATTTATCAAAGACACTGTCCTTTCTTCAATGTATGTTCTTGGCACCTTTATGGAAAATGAATTCACTGTAGATGTATGGATTTGATTCTGGGTTCTCTATGCTGTTCCATTGGTCTATGTGTCTGTTTTCATGCCAGTGCTATGCTGCTTTAGTTACTATTAGCTCTGTAGTATAATTTGAGATCAAATAATGTGATTCTTCCAGTTTTGTTCCTTTTTCTCAGGATAGCTTTGGCTGTTCTAGGTCGATTGTGGTTCCATATACCATATGTCTGCTGATGGACACTTAGTTTAGAATTGTATTTTCTATTCCTGTGAAGAATGTCACTGGTATTTTGAAAGGGATCACATTGAAACTCTAGATCGCTTTATGTAGTATAGATAATTAATAATATTGATTTTTCCAATACATGATCATAGAATATCTTTTGATTTTTGTATTCTTTTCAATTTATTTTGGCAATATTTTATAGTTTTCATTGTGTAAGCCTTTCATTTCTTTGGTTAAGTCAATTCCTAGGTATTTATTTTTATTTATAGCTACTGTAAATTGGATTACTTTTTTGATTTGTTTTTCAGGTTGTTTGTTGTTGGCTATATAAATGCTACTGATTTTTATATGTTGATTTTGTATCCTGCCACATTACTGAATGTGTTTATCAATTTTAATGTTTTTTTTTTTTTTGGTGGAGTCTTTAGGTTTTACCAATTATAAGATCATACCATATGCAAACAAAGATAACTTGACTTCTTCCTTTCCAATTTGGACACCTTTATTTCTTTCGTCTGATTTCTCTAGTTAGGACTTCCATTATTATGTTGAATAATAGTGGCAAGAATGGATATTCTTGTTATTTTCTAGTTCTTAGAAGAAGGGATTTTGGTTTTTCCCCATTCAGTATGATACTAGCTGTGAGCCTTTTGTATATGTCTTTTAGTGTGTTGAGGTATTATCCTTCTATACCTAGTTTTTTAGGGTTTTTATAATAGAGGGATGTTGAATTTTATCAAGTGCTTTTTCAGCATCAATTGAAATAATCATGTGGTTTTTGTCCTTCATTCTATTGATATGGTGTACCACATGATTGATTTGCATATGTCAAACCATTTTTGCATCCCTGGGATAAATCCCACTCGATCATGATGAATGATTTGCTTAATGTGTTATTGAATTTGGTTTCCTAGTATTTTGCTGAGGAGTTTTGCATAAACATTCATCAGGCATATTGGCCTGTAGTTTTCTTTTCTTTTCTTTTTTTAATGTGCCCATGTCTGATTTTGGTATCAAGACAATACTAGCCTTGTAGAATGAGTTTGGAGGAATTCCCCCTCCTCTATTTTTTTCAGAATACTTTGAGTAGCATTGATATTAGTTCTTCTTTAAATGTTTGGTAAAATTCAGCAGTGAAGCTATCAGGTCCTGAGCTTTTCATTGCTGGGAGAATTTTTATTACAGCTTCACTCTTGTCATTCGTTAGTGGTCTGCACGTTTTGGATTTCTTCCTGGTTCAATCTTGGTAGGTTGCAAGTGTCTAGGAATTAACCTGTTTCTTCTAAATATTCCAGTTTATATGAGCAAGTTATTGGCATACAGTTGCTCATATAAAAAGGACACATTACAACTAATATCACAAAAATTCAAAGGATCATTAGAAGCTACTAATGAGTCTACTAATGAGCTACTAATGATCTCCTAATGATCCTTTGAGTTTTTCTGGTATTAGTAGTAATGTCTCCTTTTTTATCTCTGGTTTTATTTATTTGTATCTTCCTTGCTTTCTTCTCAGTCTGGCTAAAGGTTTGTTGATTTTGTTTATCGTCGCAAAAAAAAAACCAACTTTTCATTTCATTGACTTTTTTTATTGTCTTCTCTTCAGTTTCATTTATTTCTGTTCTGATCTCTATTATTTCTTTTCTGTTACCAATTTTGGGTTTGGTTTGCTTTTCTGTTCTATTTATTTAAGATGCATTGTTAGGTTGTCTTTTTGAAGTTTATTTTCTTTTTAAATGTAGGCACGTATAGCTATAAACTTTCCTCTTAGTACTGCTTTCACTGGTTTTTGGTATGTTTTACAGGTTTTGGTGTGTTGTGTTTCCGTTGTCATTTGTTTCAAGAAGTTTTACAATTATCTGCTTAATTTCTTCATTGACCCAGAGGTCACTCAGGAGCATATTGTTTAATTTACATATGTTTGTATCCTTTCCAAAATTTCTCTTGTTGTTGATTTCTAGTTTTATTCTACTGTAGTCAGAGAAGTTAGCTGATATAATTTGATATTTTTTGACATTTTTAAGATTTTTTTGTGGCTTAACATATGGTATATCCTTGAGAATGGTCCATGTGCTGAGGTGAAGAATATGTATTCTGCAGCCACTGGATGAACTGTTCTGTAAATATCTACTAGTTTTATTTGGTCTATAATTCAGATTAAGTCCAATGTTTCTTTTTTTTTTTTTTTTTTTTTTTTTGAGACGGAGTCTCGCTCTGTTGCCCAGGCCGGACTGCGGACTGCAGTGGCGCAATCTCGGCTCACTGCAAGCTCCGCTTCCCGGGTTCACGCCATTCTCCTGCCTCAGCCTCCCGAGTAGCTGGGACTACAGGCGCCCGCCACCGCGCCTGGCTAATTTTTTGTATTTTTAGTAGAGACGGGGTTTCACCTTGTTAGCCAGGATGGTCTCGATCTCGTGACCTCATGATCCACCCGCCTCGGCCTCCCAAAGTGCTGGGATTACAGGCGTGAGCCACCGCGCCCGGCCCAATGTTTCTTTATTGATTTTCTGTCTGGATGAACTGTCTAATGCTGAAAGTAGGGTGCTGAAAACTCCAGCTATTATTGCATTGGGGTCTATCTCTCTCTTTAGCTCTAATAATATTTGCTTTGCATATGTGGGTGCTCCAGTGTTGTGTGCATATATATTTAAACTGTTATATCATCTTGTTGAATTGGCTCCTTTATCATTATATAATGACCTTCTTTGTCTATTTTTATAGTTTTTGTTTTTAAATCTATTTCGTCTAAGTATAGCTATTTCTGTTTTGTTTTTGTTTTGTGTTCGTTTGTTTAGTTGTTTGGTTTGTTTCCATTTCCATGGAATAACTTTTTCCATCCCTTTATTTTCAGTCTATATTTGTCTTTATAGGTAAAATGTGTTTCTATAGGCAACAAACCACTGCGTCTTGTTTTTTAAATCCATTCAGCCACTATACATCTTTTGATTGAAGAGTTTAGTTCTTTTATATTCGATGTTATTGATAAGAGGTAAGGACTTACTCCTGCCATTTTGTTATTTGTTTTCTGGTTGGTTTGTGGTCTTATCTTCCTTCTTTCCTGTCTTCCTTTTAGTGAAGGTAATTTTCTCTGGTGGTATGTTTTAATTTCTTGCTTTTAATTTTTTGTGCATCTGTTGTATGTTTTTTGATTTACAGTTACCATGAGGCTTGCAAAGGATTTCTTGTAATCCTTTATTTTAACCTGGTGACAACTTAATATTGATTACATAAGCTAACAACTAATAGATGAACAAAAAAGAAAATGAATAAAAACTTCACACTTGAATTTGTTCCCCACATTTTAATTTTTTGTTGTTTCTACTTATATCTTATTGTATTGTCTATGTCTTGAAGAGTTGTTGTAGTTACTATTTTTAATTGGCTTACTTTATAGTCTTTCTACTCAAGATATGGGTAGTTTACATGCTACAAGTATACTGTTACAGTATTCTGTGTTTTTGGTTTTCTGTGTACTTACTATTACAAGCAAGTCTTGCACCTTCAGATGATTTCTTATTGCTCACTAATGTCTTTTTCTCTCATATTGCAGAACTCCATTTAGCATTTCTTGTAGGGCAGGTCTGGTGTTGATGAAGTCCCTCAGCTTTTGTTTGTCTAGGAAGGTCTTTATTTCTGTTGAGTGTTTGAAGGATATTTTTTGCTGAATATATTATTCTAGGATAAAAGTTTTTCTTTTTCCTTCAGCACTTTAAATATGTGATGCCACTCTCTCCTGCCCTGTAAAGTTTCCACTGAAAACCTGCTGCCAGATGTATTGGAGCGCCATTGTATGTTATTAATTTCTTTTCTCTTGCTGCTTTTAAGGTTCTTTCTTTATCCTTGACCTTTGGTAGTTTGATTATTAAATGTCTTAAGGTAGTCTTATTTGGGTTAAATATGCTTGCTGTTCAACAACCTTTGTGCATTTGAATATTGGTCTTTCTCTAAGTTTGGGAAGTTCTCTGTTATTATCATTTGAGGAAACTTTCTACCCCTATCTCTCTCTCTACCTCTCTTTAAGGCCAATAACTCTTAGATTTGCACTTTTGAGGATATTTTCTAGATCTGGTGGGTGGGCTTAATTCTTTTGTCTGCTCTGTGTATTTTCAAATAGCCTGTCTTCAAGTTCACTATTTATTTCTTGTGCTTGATCAATTCTGCTCTTAAGAGACTCTGATGCATTCTTCAGTATGCATTTTTCAGCTGCAGAATTTCTTGATTGTTTTTAATTATTTCAATGTCTTTGTTAAATTTGTTAGATAGAATTCTTAATTCCTTCTTTGTGTTATCTTGCATTTCACTGAGTTTCCTCAAAACAGCCATTTCAAATTATGCCTGAAAGGTCACATATCTCTGTCTCTCCAGTATTGGCCCCTGGTGCCTTATTTAAGTGCTTTGGTGAAATTCTGTTTTCCTCGATGGTCATGATGCTTGTGGATGTTCTCCAGTGTCTGGGCATTGAAGAGTTAGGTATTTACTGGTCTTTACAGTCTGAGCTTGTTTGTACTCACCCTTCTTGGGAAGGCTTTCCAGGTATTCATAGGGATTTGGGTGTTGTAATCTAAGTTTTTGATCACTGCAGCCATATTTGCATTAGGGAGTACCCCAAGCTCAATAATGCTGTGGCTTGCGCAAACTCATAGAGATGCTGCCCTGATGGTCTTAGTTAAGATCTAGAATAATTCTCTAGAATACCAGGCACAGACTCTTATTCTCTTCCCTTATTTTCTCCTAAACAAAGAGTCTCTCTCTCTCCACCCTGCTATCTCTCTTTCTGTCTCTTTCTGCGCTGAGCTGCCTGGAGCTGGGGGAGGGGTGACAAAAGCACCCTCTGGCCACCACCACTGGGACTGTGCTGGGTCAGACCTGAAGCCAGCACAGCACTGAGTCTCACCCAAGGCCTGCCTGGCTACCACTTACGTTCACTCAAGGCCCTAGGGTTCTATAATTAGCAGGTGGCAAAACTAGCCATGCCGTTTTCTTCCCTTCAGGGTGATGAGTTGCCCCTGGCCCCAGTAGGTTCAGAGATGCCATACAGGAGCAGGGCCCAGAGTTGAAACCCTTAGAAATCTACCTGTTGCTCTATTCTACTGAGGCTGAACTGGCATCCAAGCCACAAGATGAAGTCCTTCCCACTCTTTCCTCTCTTTTCCACAAGCAGAGGAGTCTCTCTCTGTGGCTGGCATAGATCCAGGCCCATAGCAAGTACTGCCTGGCTACTGCCAATGTTCACTCAAGGCCCAAGGGCTCTTTAGTCAGCTTGTGCTGAATGCTACCAGGTCTGAGACTCTCCCTTCAGGACAGTAGGATGCTCTCTGACCCAGAGCAGAGCAGGTCCAGAAATTCTTTCCAAGAGCTAAGGCCTAGAATCAGGGACCCCAAGATCCTGCTTGGTACTCTACCTAACTGTGACAGAGCTGGTAAGGAAGCTGCAAGACAAAGTCTCCTTCACTCTTCCCTCCCCTTTTCTCAAGCAGAAGGTTGCTCTCCCTGTAGCCACTATGGCTTGGAATATGCTAGGTCATGCTTGAAGCCAGCTTGTCTCTGAGTCTTACCCAAGGCCCATGGTGAGTACTTCCTGGCTACCACTGTTGACTATTCAGGGCCCAAGGGCTCTTTAATCAGCAGCTGATGAATCCTGCCAGGACTAAGTACTTTACTTCAAGATAGCAGGTTCCCTTCTGGCCTAGTACATGTCTAGAAATGTTGTCTAGAAGGTACGGCCTGGAATGCGGGCCTCAGGATTCTGCCTGGTGCTCTGTCCTACTGTGGCTGAGGTGGTATCTAAGTTGCAAGATAAAGTCCTCTTTACTTTTCCTTGTCCTCTCCTCAAGGAGAGGGAAAGAGTCTCTCCTAGAGCTGTGAGCTGCACTGCCTGAGGTGGTGGGAGGGGTGGTGCAAGTACTCCCTTGGCTGCCCCAGCTATTATCTCATTAGGTTGCATACCCCTAAATCCACTGGCTGTGAGCGAAGCACAGCACCAGAACTTGCCCAGGAATTGCAGTCCTTGTGGCCTACACTGCCTTTCAAGTTTATTTAGAATCCAAGAGCACTTTAGCTTGCATTGGTGAGGCTTACCAGAATTCAGGTTCTGACGTCTGGGAAGGGCAATTTCTTTCTGGTGAGGGCTGGTCTAAATGCTTCCTCTGTGAGTGCTGGCTGAGTTCTGGCCAGGGTTGTTTTCCACTGTGACAGGGCAGCACCAAGTTCTAATGGAAAATCTCACAATCACTGTGCCTTCTGTCCCCCAAGCACACAGATTCTTGCTCCACACTATGCAGCTGCTGCTGGGGGGTGCAGGAGGGGTGGTGACAGCAATTCAAGACTGTCTTTCCTTTCCTCTTCCTTGCCTTTTTCAGTAATATGAGCATAAAACCAGGTACAGTGATCACTCACCTGATTTTGGTTCTTATGAAGGTAATTTTTGTGTGTGGATAGTTGTTCAATTTGGTGTTCCTGCAGGGAGGATGACTGGTGAAGGCTTCTATTCAGCCATCTTGCTCCATCTCCTTTCTTGCTCATTTTTTAACTGAATATTTTTCCTTTGAGTTTTGAAAATACTTGATATAGTCTGATGGTAAGCCCATTATCAGGTATATAATTTGAAAATATTTATCTTTCATTTCCTTACCCATGTTTCAAAAAAGCAGAGGTTTCAGTTCTTACAAATCCCAATGTATCATTTTAACAAACGGATTGTGCTTTTGGTGTCTTATTTAAGAGGTCTTTGCCTAACCAGAGTCATGAAGTTTTCTTCTCTGTTTTGTTCTAGCAGTTTTATAGCTTTGGGTTTACATTTAGGTCTATGATTCATTTTAACTTAATTTTTGTATACAGTTTGAGGTATGGATCTTTTTTGACACTATACAAAAGTCTACAAGTGCGTTTCTTAAAGAGTATTTGGAACGTGCCAATATTTACAACCCTATCAGTGAACTTTTCATTGTTTTTTTTTACATTGAAATTTATTGGTCTATCTGGCATAATTGTTTTGCCAAGGCATGATATTTTGAAATTATGTATTACTCATTTGGAAAATATTGGTTCACTGAGCTGTGCAGATTTTCCAAATGTTAACACGCTGCCCCACTACTTTATAAAATATAAAACGATTCTTAATAGTGCTAAGAATCACATAAAATATCTTCATATATTTGTAAGCTGTCCAGCCCAGTGTGGTTCGCATGACTTTTCCAAAATTCTAACTTTTGCTTAGAAGTTCAAGTGTGACCACTGGCATCAAATTTGAGTTCTACCGCTTGAAATGACAGGCGCATTTGTCCATTTTCACAAAAAAATCTGCCAAATATTGAAATCTGTAAAACCATAGTTTATCTGACAGTTGTTCTTTAAGGTAAATACCACTTTCCATGAAAAAAGTTACTAGTTCAGTTTGCAATTCAATCACACAAATGTTTTCTTTACAGACAACCATCATACTTCAGTATGGAACAGAAATGCTTTATGCATACTTCCCAATTTGTCACTCGAAATCATAAAAATGTGTATCATTAGGGGTTGAAATTTAATAAAATCAGTAATTTTTAATGCTTGATTAAGGTTATTTTTAAGTGGAACTGGCTTTCTTTTTCCTTCATGTGAATCCATGTTGGTAAAGAACACAATTTCTACCTCAACAGTTCAGTTTAGTGCCACTGTCTTGATTTGTGTTAAGGTGTCAACACTTTAACTCATCATTGCTTTTGCACTTTCAATGCACATGTCAACACTGTGAAAAAGATAAGTCACATCTTAACATTATAAAGAAAATATTTTTTAACCTCACAGACCTCCTAAATAGGTCTCAGGGACTTCCAGGGGTTCATGGACCACACTTTGAGATATTGAAAAAGTAAGGAGATTAAGAGAGAAGCAGTACTAGCTTTCAAAACATCACCTGGAGCTTCATTTCTTGAGTCCATGAAAAAAAATATAGCCAAGGAAAAAACCTTCCTTAGAAGTCAGTTTTCACTGGCCTAAGCAATTCCCCGGTAGAAGGCACAGGATGCAGGCCTGGTGGCACAAGACTGAAAATGCCTGCTTATAAGGGTTAGCAGAGCTATGTCACTAGACAGAGCACACACTTCATGCAGAAGCAGGGTGGCAGAAATTTGTGACTCAAAGGAAAATGGAAAGTAAAGAAGCTTCATAATGAAAAGTAAGGAGGTTTCAGAAGGCCAAACACCTTTGGAGTGACTTGAGAACTAGGCTTGCACCATTGTGGGTTTCTAAATGTTGCAACGAGGCAGCAATTTATAAATGTCATTATAAAAGAGAAGACAGTCTGCTGGGATTAATTTATTATTTTATCCAAAGTATGACAATTGTCCATACCTGAAATAACATACATTGTACATAGAGGATTTTCAGACAGCTAAGAGAATATATAATGAAAGGGATAGGGGACAGACCTTGCCAGTGCTGAGGAGGTCTCCAAATCCTGCAGGACAGGATAAATTAAGGGCCACCATCTCCCCTAAAGGTTAGGAGTCCAATTTTAAACAAAAAGCTTACAAAAGGAAGTTGCTTTCCTTGATTCTTTTCAGAAAAAGAATTTTGAGATTTAACTACAGGTGATTTAAACACAGAAATATTTTGGCATTTAAATCTTGTATCTCTAAGATAAACCTGTGGTAGATTTTTATACACTGGTATCAAGGCACTCTGATATGTTCATCCTCACAGAAAAAATTCTAGTCCTTCTGCCTTTGAGAGATATTCTGAATGAATGTATAACCCAGTACATCTTACATGTTTTACGATGGTAACAGTTGAGGAGTAGAGAAAAGACTAGCACCCTTTCCTAGGTACTAGGCATTCTGTATACTTGGAAAAATTAGTGGGGATAAGTGTTCAATTTTATAGATGAGAAAATTCAGGCAATGAAACGTTAAGTAGCCCAAGATGGCACTTGCAATTGGAGCCTGGAATTAAACCAGGTCTGTCAGACTCTGAAGTCCATAGATTTGCCATTTTCACTGGTGTTTTTGTTTGTTTGTTCATTGTTGTTTTTGTTTTTTATTTTGAGACAGAGTCTTGCTCTGTCGCCCAGGCTGGAGTGCACTGGGGCGATCTCAGCTCACTGCAACCTCTGCATCCCGGGTTTAAGTGACTCTCCCTGCCTCAGCTTTATGAGTAGCTGGGATTACAGCCATGCACTACTATGCCCAGCTAATTTTTGTATTTTTAGTAGAGACAGGGTTTCGCCACGTTGGCCAGGCTGGTCTCAAACTCCTGACCTCAGGTGATCAGCCTGCCTTGGCCTCCCAAAGAGCTGGGATTACAGGTGTGAGCCACTGTGCCCAACCTCACTGGTATTTTTTTTTTTTTAACTTTTTCTGTTTGTTTGCCTTAGCAGGATTTTATTTTCAATAAAACTTTAGGCAGAACACTAAAATGTTAAGCTTTCTCATATAGCATTGGCATCCATGAAATTCTAATCAAATATTTGAAGAACCTCAAAAGCTCTTCCAAAGGGCTCTCCAGATAGAAAACAGTTGCCCTGCAGCTGCCTCCACTACATGCCACTGCGAGTCCAACATCTGCTACTTGCTTTTTCCACTTCTTTTTTTAAAAATTGCCCCCAATGCCTAAGATTGTGCATGTCAATGCACAGAGCTTTTCCAATTTTTATCCAAGCAGAAGGAACTGCTTCTGGTTATATCTACCTTTTGTAGCTTTAAGTGCACATGAGTGGAAAAGCCTCTGTTAGCAGAGCAAATAAGCCTCTTTCTTGATTATCCAAACTGGAATACACAAGTGGTTTTTCCACGCAGCCTGACTCTGAATAAAGTCAGTTGCACTCTCAGAGGATTTGAGTGAAGCATTTTACCTAAAAGGAGATTTTAACGTAAGTGCAACATCTTCTATATATCACTAGTCTGCTATACATCATTCATATATATGTAGTCCATGTTATACTATGCTGGGTGCTTTACATATTATGCCTGGCTTCAGCTTCAGATCTGAAAGTGGGGGCTGCGCTACATTATTCTGCCTTAAATTGCATCTTAAAAAAAATTTAATGTGAGGCTGTAAAAAGATTTAAAATGAGAAGAAAATTATGAGCAGGTTTGCATTTTAGAAAAATAATTTGTGAAGAATTTAATAATTAGATGGAGATAAGGCTCCACCACCAAGAAGACCACTTAAAATACCCAGAAAAAGAGATAAGATATGAGGAATTAGTCTCAACAGTTCAACAAGAATGCAAAAGAGAGAAGTGAATAGTGAGAAGATCAGGAGAGAGGGAATCAGCAGGTCTTGGTGCGTAAAATAAGGAAGAAATAATTGAGTAAGATTGCCTGGTCTTCTAGCTCTCGGTTCCACCACCCCAATAGGAAGTAGTGAAGGAAAGGCGTATGCTGCTGCCTGAACATCCAAACAACATTGTATAACAGTGAAAGCACATGCAAATGTACTGCTTCATGCTTTTGTGTATGGTGTTCCACTGTCAGGGGCTTAACCAATATGCTTTCTATTCACAGTTCAAAAATAACTTTTTGGCCGGGCGTGGTGGCTCACGCTTGTAATCCCAGCACTTTGGGAGGCCGGGGTGGGCGGATCACCTGAGGTCAGGAGTTTGAGACCAGCTTGGCCAACGGAGTGAAACCCCATCTCTACTAAAAATACAAAAATTAGCCGGGCATGGTGTCACGCGCCTGTAATCCCAGCTACTTGGGAGGCTGAGGCATGAGAATTGCTTGAACTGGGGAGGCGGAGGACGCAGTGAGCAGAGATCACCCCCAGCACTCCAGCTTGGGCAACAGAGCAAGACTCCATCTCAAAAATAAATAAATAAATAAAATAACAAATATAACTTTTTGGAGAAATGAGAATTAAATTGTATGAAATATTTATATGGAATTAATTGATATAATTATTTAATTTAACCTCTTTTTATAAAATATCTTGATATTGATCTAAACTTATGTTTCTGGGATGAACTCTATACAGTCATGATAAATTATGGCTCCTTCTAATATAATTGGATAACATTTGGTAAGACTTTATAGATATCTTTGTGTGACTATTCATATGATAGGCAGCTTCTCTTTTTTGTGTGCGCCACCCTTGTCATTTTGGATACTTGAACTCTACCGTTGCAAAAGAAATCAGTATTTGCTGCTCTCTGAAAATAAATAATTTACCGGAAAGATTAACTGGGATTCAACATTTTTTGAGAAGTATTTATTGAGAGGAAATTTCTAATTTGTTTTTGCTCAGTTATGGTTCATTATATTTCTTCTCACGATAATTTAGTACATTTAGTATGATGGCTAACTTTATGTTAACTATCAACTTGACTGGAGCAGGGTATGTCTACATACTGGTTGAACATTATTTCTGGATGAATCTGTGAGGATATTGGAAGAAATTAGCATTTTAATTGGTGGACTGACTGTAGCAGGTGGCCCTCCCCAATGTGAGTGAGCATCATTCAATAAGTTAAGAGCCTAAATAGAACAAAGATGGAGGAAGGATGAATTCACTCTCAGCTTGATGGCATGAACTGGGATATTAAGGCCTGGTTGTTAGACTTTCAGACCCAGATTAGAATCTATGCCACTGGGTAGAGGACTCCGAAAATGTCTCTGGACTTGGTGATGGGATAGTCACTGATCAATTTCAAAAGAACAGATAAAATAGAGTGCTAGAGACAAAAGCCAAATTGGAAGGGCAGAGTGAGTGGGAGAAGAAGAGAGGAATAAGAAATAAATGATCTGCCTTTGAGAAGTGTATTGAGAAATTCTGAGTCAGTAGCTTGTGGGAGTGATGAGGTGAAGAATTATGTTGTTCTAGATTAAAAATACACCTGAATGTTTATAGGCAAAAGAAAAGAAGCCAAAGGAGAGAGAATGGAATGTAAGAAAAATGAATTGTTGATGGAAATCTCTAGAGCTGGAGAGGCGTGGCTAAAATTAAGCATATGTGAGGAAGGTGTATTAGTCCGTATTCGTGCTGCTGATAAAGACATACCCAAGACTGGGAAGAAAAAGAGGGTTAACTGGGCTTACAGTTCCACGTGGCTGAGGAGGCATCAGAATCATGGCCCAGGATGAAAGGCACTTCTTACATGGTGGCAACAAGAGAGTATGAGGAAGAAGCAAAAGCAGAAACCCCTGATAAATCCATCAGATCTCATGAGACTTACTCACTATCATGAAAACAGGGGACAGACAGGCCGCCATGATTCAGTTACCTCCTTCTGGGTCCCTCCCACAACACGTGGGAATTCTGGGAGATAAATTCAAGTTGAGATTTGGGTGGGGACACAGACAAACCTTATCATTCCACGCCTGGCCCCTCCGAATCTCATGTCCTCACTTTTTAAAACCAGTCATGCCTTCCCAACAGTCCCCCAAAGTCTTAACTTATTTCAGCACTAACCCAAAAGTCCACAGTCCAAAGTCTCATGTGAGACAAGGCAAATCCCTTCCACCTATGAACCTGTAAAATCAAAAGCAATGCTAGTTACTTCCTAGATACAATGGCGGTACGGGTATTGGGTAAATACAGCTGTTCCAGATGGAAGCAATTGGCCAAAACAAAGGGGCTACAGGGCCCATGCAAGTCCAAAATCCAGTGAGCCAGTCAAATTTTAAAGCTCCAAAATGATGTCCTTTGACCCCAGGTCTCACATCCAGGTCACACTGATGCAAAATGTGGATTTCCATGGTCTTGGGCAGCTCTGCCTCTGTGGCTTTGCAGGGTATAACATCCCTCCTGGCTGCTTTCACAGGCTGGTGTTGAGTGTCTGCAGCTTTTCCAGGAGCATGATGCAAGCTGCCAGTGGAGCTACCATTATGGGGTCTGGAGGATGGTGGCCCTCTTCTCACAGTTCCAATAGACAGTGCCCAAGTAGGGACTCTGTATGGGAGCTCCAACCCCATAACCCCACATTTCCCTTCCATACTGCCCTAGCAGAGGTTCTCCATGAGGGCCCTGCCCCTGCAGCAAACTTTTGCCTGGGCATCCAGGCTTTTCCACTCATCTTCTGAAATCTAGGCGAAGGTTCTCGAACCTCAATTATTGACTTCTGTGCACCTGCAGGTTCAACACCACGTAGAAGCTGCCAATGCCTGGGGCTTCCACCCTCTAAAGCCACAGTCTGAGCTGTACATTGGCCCCTTTCAACCATGGCTGGAGCAGATGAGACACAGGGCTGCACACAGCGCAGGGACCCAGGGCCAAGCCCACAAAACTATTTTTTCCTCCTGGGCCTCCAGGACTGTGATGGGAGGGGTTGCTGTGAAGGTCTCTGACGTGGCCTGGTGACATCTTCCCCATGGTCTTGGGGATTAACATTATGCTCCTTGCTACTTAAGCAAATGTCTGCAGCCAGCTTGAATTTCTCCTCAAAAAATGGGCTTTTCTTTACTACTGCATCCTCAGATTGCAAATTTTCTGAACTTTTATGCTCTGTTTCCCTTTTAAAATGGAATACTTTTAACAGCACCCAAGTCAGCTTTTGAATGCTTTGCTGCTTAGAAATTTCTTCTGCCAGGTACCCTAAATCAACGCTCTCATGTTCAAAGTTCCACAAATCTCTAGGGCAGGGGCTAAATTGCCACCTGTCTCTTTGCTAAAATATAACAAGAGTCACCTTCGCTCCAGTTCCCAACTAGTTCCTCATCTCCATCTGAGACCACCTCAGCCTGGAACTTACTGTTCATATCACTATCAGCATTTTGGGCAAAGCCATTCAACAAGTCTCTAGGAAGTTCCAAACCTTCCCACATTTTCTTGTCTTCTTCTGAGTCCTCCAAACTATTCCAACCTCTGCCTGTTACCCAGTTCCAAAGTTGTTTCCATATTTTCATTTATCTTTTCAGCAACACCCTACTCTCAGTACCAATTTACTGTATTAGTCCATATTTATGCTGTTGATAAAGACATACCTGATACTGGGAAGAAAAAGAGATTTAATTGGACTCACAGTTCTACATGGCTGGGGAGGTCTCAGAATCATGGCAGAGGGTGAAAGGTACTTCTTACATGGTGGCAACAAGAGAGAATGAGGAAGAAGCAAAAGCAGAAACCTCTGATAAACCCATCAGATCTCACGAGCCTTATTCACGGTCACGGGAATAGCATGGGAAAGACCAGTCCCCATGATTCAATTACCTCCCGCTGGGTCCCTCCCACAACTGGGAATTCTGGGAGATACAATTCTAAGTGAGATTTGGGTGGGGACACAGCCAAACCATATCAAAAGTGGAGGGTGTACAGAAGATGCAAGTAGAACACATTATAAGCTGTTAGGGAAGAAAAAAAGTAATTTAAGCAAAAATAAGGAAAAATAGGGAAGTAAGAACTTTCTTCTGGTTTTTAGGTAGAAAAAAATCTGTGAGAGGTGGCATCAGATGGCATCTATCTCAATCAGGAGATAAAACAGGAGGATATTTTACAAGGAATTAGTGAGAAAAGAATTCCAAGATAGAAAGCAGGAAAGAAGGCCAATTTAAGACTTGTTAGTGTGAATTACTTGTGTTCTCATATACAGTTTATTGAAATTATTCAAAACGTTTTGTCACCTTGAGTAGTATGGTAGGAACTGCCATGGATTATCAAATAAGTGGGAGACTCTAGACTGCCAGTGAGGGCAATATTGACAGGATTAATTTAGGATTCCAAAACCAATAGAGATGGGAATAAAGCCAAAAATGGGAAATTGTGTAAATGTTAGGAAAGGGAGGACAGAACAGATTAACAGATGGTGGTCAGAAATATTCACCCTTTAAAAGTGCTTAAACATGTATGAGTTTCTTCTAATAAAGATTTTCCAGGCAGTTCCTTTTTTTTTTTTTTTTTTTTTTTTGCCACAGTGCTTTTCTAGCAATAATAATGGAAAACAAAAGCTGAACCAGAGTCTTTTTTCCTCATTTTTATTGACTTTTTCTTTAGTGGACAGCCTATAGAATTCCTCTTTCACCACTAGATGACCACCCTACATTTGTAATGAGCTATACTGATGGATTTCATGGTGGCCAGCTAGAAGTGATAAACTTGACTTGTATTAACAATGATAAATTCAGTATATCAATGGCTAGAATAACCTGAACCCAGAAATTGGAGAGTGAAAGAAAGAGGTCTAACTTAATATTAATTGACCCCAGGGAAGTTACTTACCTTATATGAGACTCAGTTTTTTCATCTATAAATGAAAATAATATTAGCCATCCTAAACGGATGTAAGAATTGAAAAATATGATATATGTAAAATGTTTAGCATGGCTCCTGGAACTGAGTACATGTTCTCTATATCACGCCTGTTGTTAATTTTGTAATTATTGCAGTAATCCTCCCTTCATTTGTTAAATTTGTAAGGGCCTAGTGGGCACTAATTGCTCGTCTAAATACCCAATATATAATGATATGGGAGATTGAATTATTGGTTTCAATTCTTTACTATTCACTATGTTCATACTTTTTGCTATGTATCTTTCTGTGCTTTCTACAAAAGGCAAAGTGAACCTCTCCACTGAGGCTTTGGGGTCAGCCACTTGGCTTGCTTTGGCTAACAAAAGGTGGGCTGAAGTGTCAGTGACCCAGTTCCAAACCTAAGCCTTAAGAAACATAAGCATCATATGCTCTCTTCTGCTTTTTATATTGTCACTAGTAGAGCTTGCCCTGGCTCCAGAGCTCAAATGACTAGAACCTCACCTGCATCTAACAGTCAAGCTCGATTAGACCCACAGCTTGAAGCAGAGGGACCCAGTCAACACACGCTAGATCAGGAGATAGCCAACTATGGGCTGTGGGTAAAATCCAGCTTGTGATTGTTTTTGTATGGCTCACAAGCTAAGTTTTTGTGTTTTAAAAGAGTTGTTAAAAATTAAAAAAAAGAGAAGTATATGCGGCAAAGACTGCATATGGCCTGCAAAGCCCAACATATTTACTTTCTGAATTAAAACCAAAAGGTTTGCAGACCCTTGGTCTAAATCACCAACATCCAGACAACCAGCAGACCATGAGTGATCCTCACTGAGATCAGCAGAGCTGCTCCTGCCAACTTCCAGTCATGAGAGAACTAAATGCTTATTGTTGTATCTCACTATGGTTAATTGTTTTTGCAGCATTATTGTGGCAAAAGCTGAGTGTTAGAAACGCTGAGAGAAAATATAGATGGTCCCTACCCTCACGGAGCTCACATTTTGGTTGAGGAGACGGAGAGCTGCTAAATACAAATGGGTAAATTCAAGATAAATGCGATGAACACAGATAAGGGAGATAGGAGGTTAAAAATGGAAATCGTTTGTTTGAAATAGTAACTGAAATGAATAGAGAGTGAAATGATTAGAAATACATAGTAGAATTACTGGACAGAGTTGAAAGCCCAATTATTGGTGATCATGAATTTAGAATAATAGTCATGCGTCCTGTGTGCCGTTTACACTATAGTTGTAAGCAGTCTGGGTAGGTAGAAGGGTGAAAGCACATTATTGGTTTCATCCAGGATTGAATTTTATAGCAAGGGTATGATAACAGAACCAGACGATACAATAACTTAGCATACTGTCAAGAGTTTTTGCGATATGAATGGAATCTGAGCCCCAAGAAGAGACATTCAATTGGGAAAATGTTAAAAGGTCAGAGGCTGAAAAGTACTAAAGAATTTAAAGAACAGGTTGAATAAGCGCGGTTTACATCGAAGCCAGAACAATTTGAGTTTGTGGTCAGAACATATGTCTGCATTGATGAGTGTTTTACAAACTTAATTATGGACATTCTCTTTTCTTTCTTTCTCTCTTTCATTCTCTCTCTAGCCTCCTCTGATTTCTTTCTTTCTGAATGTTACAGTATACACATTTCTTGGAAGATCTTTGTGTGTGTGTGTGAAATACTAAATTAAGGTTTTTTTAGTACTCAATTATGTCACCCTAGGAGCTCATCTTAGTTTAATTCTTGAATATTTAAAGTGCATATTAGTATATTAAAATTAAGAAGTCCACAGTAGAGTCTTATGAAACTTTGCTTAACTCAGCATTTCACAGACTTTTTGAGTACCAAAATCTTTTATTGCATAGTGCCCATTAATATCCTGCAGAGAAAAACATTTTAGTAAACAGTGGTGTAAGCTAATTAATTGTATTAATGTAGCTGAGGAAACAGTGTGTCAAAAGGAGGAAAAAAGCATTCATGGAATCTAAAAGAGGAGACCCAGGGCAATCCATTCACTGACTCATGTATCCAACATTTTCTGGGCCCCTGCTACCTGCCACTCACCGTTGAATGTGAAGTGGAATAAGACATCACCTCTACTCACAGCTAACTAGAGAGACAGAGATACAAACAAATGAAAAATTATCACAAGGAATGGTGAGGACAAATAAAGGCCCATACTGACTTCTCTCCCAGGAAGTAGACCAATATCTCTACCAGATTTTGTGGTTGGGGTATGGTGGAGCTAAAAGAAAGATAAGAAAACGCTTTTAGAGGAAAGTAACACTAAAATTAGTTTGCCATGTCTGTAGTTGACTTTAAAATAATTGAACACAGACAGAGTAATAGTAATTGCCAGTTGGCTTAAGTTTCAGTTCTGGAGGTAATCGGAATTGGTGCAAATCTCTTTCCAGTGGTGGTTAGCATTTCATGTGAAAGGCCTCATTCCAGAGGTGGCCACTAAGTCTTCCATTATCTGTAACTTGGTCAAAGCTATAAGCCCTACTGCTTAGCACAGCAAATCTACGTTTAGTATTGAATTTAGTGGTTTTTATTTATCATGAGGAATGTGAAAGAGAGGCTCTCAGTGAAATTAAATGTATTCAAGATTGGCTAAAACATGTTAGAAACACTTCCCATCCTTCTGTAAATAAGATATGAAGGACTTATCCCTTGGATCGAAGCTTCTAAGACCCTTGCATAGAAATCCTGCATCCAGCCATTATTAGAACGATTTCCTGTCTCACTCACCTCAGATTTCTTTATTGGTTACTTAAATTTACCTAAAAGAGCCCACACAAGGCCAAATCATCCGGGGTCAGTGCCTAAATCTGTAAAGGTGCAGAGGCATGAAACCACTTTATAAAATCAAGGAACTCTAAGTGGTGTTTCGCACGGAATCAGGGGGAAAGTGAATCCAAAAGGAGGAGATTACGTCTCTGGCACTATCCAGGGAAAACTGGTCTTAACCCCATATTGAGATAAAATAGCTATTTAGAATGGCAATCGACATATCACATTACAATAGTCTGATAAAATGTCTATTTAGACCATCCCACTGATTTCCTTTGTTTGGATTATATTTTGCCCTCTCATATGAATTATATTAAGGTGAGCAAATGTACCAACCAGTTAATGAAATTATTGAAGTCTCTTTGGAAGTCATATTACCAAGTAAAATGTAATGCACTGACATTGTGGTTGTTGTCCAATCTCTTTGGGGAGGTTAGAATAAAACATTCCAATTAGTTTGTGCTCATTCTGCCTGAGCACTAAGAATCAAGTTTCTGGATATGCAAAGTTAAGGGTTAAGACCTTGGCTATGATACCTCTATTGCCCTGTGAGACTCTCCCTGAGTTCAACAACACCCCTTTCCCCTCACCGCCACCTCCCCAATCCCAGACAAATCTCTTGCTCTTGCTCTAATGGCAACAGTTAGAAAAATGGGAAAGGTAGAAGCTTTAACATACACTGATAAAACTGAGTGGTGAAATGTGAAAAGTTTTTATTAGTTGTTAAACAATAAAAGCCTGAAAAAAAAATGGAAGGGGAAACAGTAACTGGAGTGGAAATATTTAGGTCTGATTTACCTTACGTTTATTTAAAGTAGAGAATCATTCTCTAAGATGATTCGGGTCTTGCCTTTCTGCAACTATTTTGCTGATAATAAACACATCAACTGTAAACATACAGGGAGTGTTTCCAGGGCTTATAGGAATTTAATCAACTTGTGCAATCATCCTCTTTTACAGCCTCCTGCCCTGCAGCCTGTTCTTCTGTGTCCAGGATTGGTTCCCTCCGGTGGGTTCTTGGTCTTGCTGACTTCAAGAATGAAGCTGCAGACCTTCGCGGTGAGTGTTACAGCTCTTAAAAGTGGCAAGGACACAAAGAGTAAGCAGCAGCAAGATTTATTGTGAAGAGTGAAAGAGCAAAGCTTCCGTGTAATGGGACCCGAGCAGGTTGCTCCTGCTGGCTGGTGGGGGAGGGGGGGGTTGGCCAGCTTTTATTCTCTTATTTGTCCCCACCCATGTCCAACTGATTGGTCCATTTTACAGAGCGCTGATTGATCCATTATACAGAGCATTGATTGGTCCATTTTATAGAGTGCTGATTGGTCCATTTTACAGAGTGCTGACTGTTGCATTTATAATCCTTTACTAGACACAGAGTGCTGATTGGTGCATTTATAATCCTTTAGCTAGACACAGAGTGCTGATTGCTGCATTTTTACAGAGTGCTGATTGGTGCATTTACAATCCTTTAGCTAGACACAGAGCGCTGATTGGCGTGTTTACAATCCTCTAGCTAGACAGAAAAGTTCTCCAAGTCCCCACTCCACCCAGGAAGTCCAGCTGGCTTCACCGGTCACTTCCTCAAACCCAGTGTGGAATGTGGTTACTTTTTTAGTTTGAAGCAGCTCCTGACAGACCCTAGGAACTTTATAGATGAAACTGAGTGATCTTTCCTAATTACCATGCTAAAGTCTCCACCCTGAGAGAAACTATAGCATCATTACCATAACATGCGACCTATGTGCTGGCATAATGACTCGCTGCATTCCCGCCACTGGGACCCCTCCTCTACATGTGATGATACACCCTGTCCCCTCTTCATTGCCCAGTGAAGCCCTACTGTCACTTTCCCTCGGGGAGACACCACTTTGGAGATACTCCCAGCTACTCCGGAGGCTGAGGCGCGAGAATCCAGAATTGCTTGAACCTGGGAGGCAGAGGTTGGAGTGAGCTGAGATCGCAATCGCACCACTGCACTCTAGCCTGGGTGACAGAGTGAGACTCCATCTCAGAAACAAACAATCAAATACTCCTACTAATTAAAACCTGCATTCTCATGGACAGTTGTTTGCTGCTTTCCAGGCAAACGAACCCTGGTTTTACAGGGAACACAACCTTGATTGCATTTAATTGTGAAAGACCCTGTGGACATGGAAATAGCAGGGTTGTCCTGGAAAGTACAAAAGGAGAGCCTGAACCAAAAGAAAGCAATCTGAGAAGAGGCGCAAAGAAGCAAAGGTAAACTGACAGTAGCAGCGGACATTTGAATGCAAATTTATTTAAACTATAAATTAATTAGAAATAAAATATTTGAAAGTATTTGATTAGTGCTACGATTGTTTTAGGTCTCAGTTTACAACTAATCAAAATAATACTAATGTTCAAAAATTATCCAGGTATTCAGATCTTTTTGGAAATCTGTACAGAGTTGAGTTCAGAAGTCTCAAAGTGTAAGCCAGTAACTCTATGCAAAACTATTTTTGGCCGGGCGCAGTGGCTCACGCCTGTAATCCCAGCACATTGGGAGGCCAAGGGGGGCAGATTACAAGGTCAGGAGTTTGAGACCAGCCTGGCCAACACAGTGAAACCCCGTCTCTACTAAAAATACAAAAAAATTAGCCGGGCATGGTAGAGAGCGTCTTAATCCCAGCTACTCGGGAGGCTGAGGCAGGAGAATCGCTTGAACCTAGGAGGCGGATTTTGCAGTGAGCTGAGATCGCGCCATTGCAGTCCAGCCAGGGTGGCAGTGTGAGACTCTGTCTCAAAAAAAAAAAAAAAAAAGAAACAAAAAATACTAACATTTCATTTTCCTTTTCCTGTTTTCTCCTTGAGTATACAGCGGCATTTTCCGAAGCTATATGGCATATGATATTACAACAGGTTGAATGCACAAGTAGATATTCAAATGAGCTATCTTCTATTAAATCAGAGTAAGGAGACTTGCAAAAGGTAAAACAAATGGCACTCCTTCCATGGAAGTTTTTTGCTTTGGAAAAATAGTTATTTTTCATGAAAATATTTTGCTTACAGTAACTTGTAGTAGGTTTATTTTTGTTCTTAAATGAATTGATAAATAAAAATTTTGAACATTTTAAGTTTTAATTTTTAATATGGTAATCAATAGATATAACAAACATAAACCAAAATTCTTTGAGAACCTTAATAATTTTCAAGACAGTAAAGAAGTTTTGAGAACAAAAAGTTTAAGAACCTCTGTTCTAGCCAGATAAAGCTTTCAATATTTGACACTATCTGTTTATTTTCTTCTATGAAAAATAAACTAAACCACAGGAAAAAATTAGTTTCACATGTATGCCTTAGCTATTGCAGGCAGGCCAAGTCTGTTGATCTAAGAGAGTCTGAATATACTGGTGAATTTGCACTTCATTTTTTTATTTGAATGAGATGGTGTCTCAATGGCACTAGTGTGGAGGAAGAAACCTTTTTACTCTTTTTACAATGGTAAATTTCTCTTTTTGGTGACGTAGCATATACAGCATTTATTCCACAGTATTATATGAATTTTCAAGTCCTGAAATTTAAAGGAATTTATGTTGATTGTTAGATTCTCAAAAGTAACTTGAAAAGTCACTACACATTTACATGACTATGAACTGAGCTTTCACAAAACTCCCAAAGGCACCAGATTTCGGAGACTTAAATCTTAATGGTAAATTTCTCCACAATGACAGACGCTAAAACAGCACAGAGATAAAATATGAGATCTGCCCAGATTGAAGTCAGTTCACTTGAATGTAAGGTACCATATGCATTGCTTTGACTTATGTAGAGAATTCATGGCCATGCATTTGTTGACTGCTATCCAGAGAGCTGACAGCTGCAGATGGATCTTCCCACTGTTAATAGTCCACAAGTGCAAAGGAGCCACCCAGTATATTTTCAAAACGGGCTATTTCAGCCGAACACAGTATAAGGCTGGTCTTCTTTTAGGATATATTTACCATTAAAGTAATGCAATGGAATTATGCAAAGACTGTCTCCCATCCACCCCAGCTTGGAAGGTGAATCTGCTACTCTTCTTTTTCCAGTTATAGATGAAAAAAAAGAAGAAGAAGAAAAGGAAAGAAAACAATACATCTTAAGCACTGCGATCTTCCTCTCATTAAGTCTTGTTATATGAAGAATTGAGGTGGTGGGTTGGGGAGGGAGAAAGCTAAGCAACTAAAACAAATTTAATGTTTTTAAAATATTTTTTCCCACAGACCAGATTGCAATTTACAATCTTGCCATTCCATCAAATGCTATGACACTTCACAATGCTGCCTAAATGCAAAATTGGCCAGGTTTAACATAATAGCTGGCTGCATAAAACACGAGATTGCAAATGTCATGGGAAAGAGATGATGAATGGCTGTGGGATATTTATATACACTGTATAGATATGTTGACGAAACTGCTTGAAGGAAATGTGTTAAAACTGATTATTTTAGCTACAGATTTGGATGAAATGTGGCTTTTTGTATTGTAGGCATCTGGGATCCTAAGGTCTCCTACAGTGGCATCACTTCTCCTGCTTCGGACTTTTCCCCTCAGTAATCATTCTGTTTACATCACTGTTGCTCTGTGCCCTGAAACAAGACAGTGACTCACATCAGGGCTGATGAGGGCACTGCTGAGGACTTGGCCTCTTTTCCTAGGTGACCTGCCCAGAAATTCCTGCTTTTCTATCACCTCTGGGTCTAGAAGATTGCTGGGCTTCACTAGAATGTCTGGTGCCTTAATCATCTGCCTACCTCTGCAGCATCTTCCAGGAAGCAAAGTCACATTTAGGAGGTGAAAGTTTTCAAATGATCTGGGCACTATAGTAATGATAAACTCACTCTTGGTCATTTTTCAGGTTTTGATTTAAACAAAAAATAATATTTAAAGTAGATTATTTCAACTTTTCCTCTGAGATATAATGTGGTAAGCAACAAAACTCGCTAAGAAGGTGAATTTTTTCACATAGAATCTTAGGATTATGATAATAATTGCTCATCTTTATATCATGCTTACTATGTGCCAGGCACTGTTCTCATTTAATTCTTATAGTATACATACAGGGTAGCCTCATCGTTGTATTCATTTGAAAGATGAAGAAAGTGAGAAACAGAAAAGTTAAATAACTTTACTAGGGCTACATAGGTAATAAGTAGAAGATCCAAGATTCAAACCCAGAATGGCAAAGATTACATGCTTTTAATTATGATGCTTGTATTAGTTCGTTCTTGCACTGCAAAACAAAGACATACCTGAGGCTGTGTAATTTATAAAGGAAAGAGTTTTAATTGACTCACAGTTCAGCATGGCTGGGGAGGCCTCAGGAAACTTACAATCATGGCAGAAGGGGAAGCAAACAGTCCTTCTTCACATGGTGGCAGAAAGGAGAAGTGCCAAGCAAAAGGGGAAAAGTCCCTTATAAAACCATCAAATCTCAAGAGAACTGACTCACTATCATGAGAGAAGCATGGAGGTAACTGCCCCCATGATTTAATTACCTCCCACCTGGTTCCTCCATGAGATGTGTGAATTATGGGAACTACAAGTCAAAATGAGATTTGGGTGGGGACACAGCCAAGCCATATCAATGCTATATATTTCCTTGTCGATAAATAATACAAACCTCAAAAACATAATGCCACATTTTAATACCATATACAGGAACTAATCTCATATTTTGACCTAAAGGTGCTTTGACTGGGTGTTAACGTTGTGCTGGCGAATGTGAGATAACATAAGCCGAAGTGTGGGCAGATGCATCAGTCAGAATAGTCTAGGTTATCTTGTGGAAGTGAACCATCTCATGATCTTGATGGCTTAAAGCAAAAAAAAAAAAAAAAAAAAAAAAAAATGGTTTATTTCTTACTCGCCTTCCACATCTATCATTGCCTAGCTGAGGGGGCTCTGCTCCACTTTCTGTAGTCCTCAGACCAGAACCCAGGATGACCCAGGACGTGGCATCCCCTCTATGTGGCATGATAGAAGGAGGAAAAAATGTGACAGAGCATTAGCCAGTTATTAAAAGTTCTGCCTAGAGATGATATATATCATTTCTCTTACATTCTGTTAGCCAAAGAGAATCACATTGCCCAACTTAACTCTGAGGTGGCATGAAAGTACAATTCATCTCCTTGTCTAGAATGAAGGGAAAGTTGGGATATATAGAAGCAGTCCTCAGGACTATCCCAGCAGGGTCAGCCATAATGTTGAGAAGTGCGTAGTTGAGACGGTAAGGAATCGTCTATCGCTGAAGGCTAGGAACATTGATCCATGACAAATGAGTCACTTAGCCTCAGCTCGTCACTTCTTTGAGACAACTTGTATGTCCACTCAAAACTCAGCTAAAAGCCCTGCTACACACTCTCAAAACCCCTGAGTCTCCATTCCTCTCACTTATTATATTGGCCATTATCTATTCTATTCTGCACAGGATTTTATATATTATCCATGAAGGCAGAGAATAAACGTGTATTGGTTTATTCTTTGACACTGCTGTATTCAACCATCCTCCACCCCACCTTGCTACTTCAAGATTCATATCAGTCCAATAAATATTTATTAAGGCAGAAAATATGTATTAGAATACGAGGAGTAAACAGGAAAACGAATCTATACCTGGTATACACTGGCTTTCTGAGCCAGTTTCCATTAGGTACCTTAAATGATTAAATAGAACCATCCTCTCAGTGTAAGGCCTAGCATGATTTCTTTTGTTTGTTTGTTTGTTTGTTTGTTTGAGATGGAGTTTCACTCCTGTTGCCCAAGCTGGAGCGCAATGGTATGATCTTGGCTCACTGCAACCTCCACCTCCCCAGTTCAAGCAATTCTCCTGCCTCAGCCTCCCGGGTAGCTGGGATTACAGGCACACACCACCATGCCCGGCTAATTTTTTGTATTTTTAGTAGAAATGGGGTTTCACCATGTTAGCCAGGCTGGTCTCAAACTACTGACCTCAAGTGATCCACCCGCCTTGGCCTCCCAAAGTGCTGGGATTACGGGCTTGAGCCACCACATCCAGCTGAGGTCTGGCATAATTATTGAGGCAAAGAAAAGTTTCTTTCTCCTTCCTGCCCACCAACTCTTAGGGCATCTTGAAAAGCAGATCAGGCTTTCATTCCAAAAATAGACCTTAAAGGAATAAAGATACAAATGGCCAGGAGTGTTACCTTATCAACATAAATTACAATCAAAGTAAACCCTTCCTGGTTTTATAGAAAGAGAGACTTAGAAAGTCTGAAGGTAGCTTTTTCAAAAGGAAAACAACGATGAAAAAAAATGGAGTAGAAAGAAGAGTCCGGGGGTGAGACTGACTAACCTAGAATCTATAAATGTTGCCACAAGCCTTGGCTCACATTCACCCATTCAATCCAAGACCTTCCATTATGTCTTAATTATGTATTTGATGCCCATGATGTCCTGAATACCTTCACAGAAACCATGGATGCTACACATAAATCATGAAGGAGACTGAAACCTGATACAAGGAAAAAAAGCATTCTGTCTGGCCTTTTTAAAATAACTTCATCACCTATTGTTTTTCCCCCATCTAGCTGCTATCACCATCATAAACTGCAGAGAGAAAGGTTGAGATTTAGTCTACATTCTCCTGAGAGAGAACAGTTAATGGATTTTAAAGTGCAAAACATAACACACTCTCTTTTGTTTGATCTAAAAAGCAATGCATTGTATATCATGTAATACATGGGTTACTAGGTCATGTGCAAGTTTGAGGTAATTACTAATATTTAAACTCACATTTCTATGATAATTTAAAATCACAGCACCTTTATTTTTCATCTGAATGAGTCACTTTAGAAACCTAATAGTATTAAGTCAAAGTGATGCGCTGTTAGTAAAACATGAAGTAAAGCCTTTCTAACCAGAAAACCTCTTCTTTAAGCCAATTGTACAGGAAAGAACAATGTAGGAAGCTTCTGGTTTTCTTAAAGCAGTCAGGCATCGTAAATTATGCTTTCTGTCTGACCTCAAATAAGGCAGGATTATCTCAAAGGAGAAGCAAAGTAAATAATAAAAACTCAGATTAAACAGAATTCTGTGAAAACGTGGGGAACAGTCACTGGTATGCTTAATTCCTCTTTCTTTTCCTTTCAGGTTCTGTATTGTCTATAGGGACAGTACTAATTTGTTAAAAAAAACTCAGTTACAGTAGTTTAGGGACTTTTTTTGTTTTGTTTTCCTTAATCAGCAAAGTTACTTGAATCAAAAGGGAGCATTTTCCACAAACACAATTGGAAAAGTAGGATTACCTTGAAAGAGGAAAATTGTGCCTTTTTAGCGCAGGGCTATAAAGCAACATGTAACTCAAAGAGTTTTTTTTTAGGGAAAGGCAAGTCATCTTTAGAAAAATCTCTACTTTTTTGTACTTTGAATACGAAATTTCCCAATGTTAACATTATATTTTCACTATACACTGTTTGATGAGTCAAGAAGTAGAAGCATTTCTCCATAATAGAATTATTCTCACCGTTATTTTTTAGAAACAATCTATAATATCATAATAACAATCATCAATATTTGCCTATGTTAATGTTATATGCAAATATTCTGCATCTTTGTGTTCAATAATAGGCACATTGCATTGACATCTAAAATAATAGTGACAAAATTTTTGTTCTGGTGTTTATCAAAGCTTATTATTAACTAATGCATTGGTTTAGACAGTTTTACATTATATAAAATGCTTTATTTTCAAAATCACTTCTCAGTACTACTTTTTACATTACAAATTAAACAGCTAATGTTTACTTGATTAAATAGGGATTTAATTTGTCTTAAAATGGAAATGTTCTTGGTGGAGCTGAAGGAGCATTTGATTTAGTCTGAAAGTTGGATTCTTACCCTGGCCTCACCAATTATAGGACTAGTTTAGGACTTCAACAAAGTATGAAACCACATAAATTTCAGTTTTATCAGCTGTAAAACATGTAATAACTAACTCATACAGTTTTGTGGGGACTAATTTTACATTAATTATACCCTACTGTCTTAGTCTGTTTTCTGCTGCTTTAGCAAAATACTGGGTGATTTATGAATAGAAGAGATTTAGTTGGCTCATGTTTCTAGGGGCTGGGAAGTCTGAGAGCATGGTGCCAGCATCTAGTGAGCATCATCCAATGGTGGAAGGCAGAAAGGAGAAGCAAGAACATAAGACAGAGCATATGAGGGCTGAACTTATCCTTTTATCAGGAACCCACTCCTGTGATAGCCAACCTACTCCTGAGATAATAACATTGATCCATTTACGAGGTCAAAGCCCTCATGACCTAATCACCTCTAAAAGTGCCACTTCTTAATACCATCACAATGGCAATTACATTTCAACATGAGTTGTAGAAGAGACATTTAAACCACAGCACCCTATCTATATGTCAAGAGTTTGCAGTGGATAAGAAGGATATACACAGAATAATATGAATACATCTTCCAAAGAAAGATGTAAATGACAGGACAAAAATGGAAATAGGAAAAATTATACAGTCTAACAGGATAAGGAGAAAGTAGGATAAAAGTAGGCTGAGTTCTTGAAAGCTACAGATGTTTTCCTACTATCAGATTCTTCATTTTTTTTTTTTTTTTTTGCATAGCAAACTCTATAATATAATGGGCAAAATAATTGAAGGAGAATTGGAAGAAGTTTTTATGTGGCTTTTCTATTGATAAAAGCCAAGGGCACCATTTCAATAACTCAGTAAAGGTTAAACTAAGTGTGATTCAACTTCCTGATGACTTAACACTTTAGATAAAGACTAGAGGTGTGGTGACACCAACCTTCACTTAACTTGGATAAAGAGTTCCTTCTCAGTCTGCTTTTGACATGAGCTAAAGAGAAGATAAGTTTTTGTTACCCTAGTAAGAGCATATTTGTCCATATAATCTGGAAATAAGGTTAGATAGGGCTATCTTGATAATGCAAGTGTAATAATCTCTTGAATATCTCCATATATATTTTTTGTATTTTACTGTATTTGTCTTCTAATCAATCAGGATCATCCATTTGCCTTTGAAAAACTGGGATACTTGAAGCAGAAGTACAATGAGAAACAAAGAAAGGGTAATAAGAGTTGGGTATACAAAACAGGATTCGTGAGTCACAAGAATATCTAGTTTTCAAATCCATAATTTAGAGAAAGGGAACATAAGGGAACATGATATTCTAATTGTTTTAATCATCTATTTTCATACTAAGAGTGAGACTTTGCCAAGTATATCATAGAGTTTTATTGTATGCTATAGTTAGAGGGAATGTTGTAAGTTCTTGTCATAGAGGAATTGGGGAACGGGGGATAAAGTCAACTTCTTCAGCTCTGGGGATTGTGAGACACAGTCAGGAGGCTGTCATTCATGCTTCAAATTCCAGATGTGATAGGTGTTTGATAGGCTCAGTGGAAAGCTGGGAGCAGAGGAACTTTTGCCATGTTCTCTGCTTGGCATCAGGGACCAATTGCCACTCCACCTGGCATAACCTTGCACCAACAGACTGTGCCCAGCATGGAAGTAATCTAGAGATTCCCATGTAGCCCAGGAAGGGCCTAGAAAGAAGTTGAGATTCTGGCTGGGAAACATGCTAGAGGTCCTGCCAGAAAAGTGGTCTTGGGTCTGAAGGTTTAACTGGAGTTGTCCGAGGGTCCTAGTGGGAATCAAACCCAAGGGCATCTGGAGTGCAGGAAACAAGAGATGATGGCCAAAGTCCCTGAAGACAGAGAGGAGGCTCTGGGTTATATTAGCTGGAGGGATTCAGCAGCAGATGCCAGCAGGTTGCACAGAAAGGCCACACTTCAGCCTTGTAGCTCACAGACCAGTGTCAAACCAGATTCCCCACGGGCTTGTTGGCATGCCTGAAAACCTCACACTTTCCCTCCCTGATGCTCAGAAACATCTCGGAAGAAGAAAGAACAAAAAGGAAAAAGTGCTGGTCCTGATTTAAATTTTGAAATGACAAAAGTTGTACCAAATCCAAAGCTTTTTAACCAAAACAAGACACCATTTATTGCAATTTTAAATTAACTTCCCATTGTGATGAGACTCATAAGGAAAGTTGGGATCAATTATAAAAAATAATAAATGTTCATCTCCTTAAAACATGTGAGTTGTGTGGATAAATTATGGACTCAGAGAAGTCAAGAAGACTAAACAGTAGTTCTCATTTCCGGTGGAAGAAATGCTCTTTTCATCTTCTATGCTGCTGCACGCAGCCAGGCTACTTAGAAGCAACCTTGGGTCCTTCTGCAGGAAGAAGGTTAGATATGTTTAGGCTCTTTGATAAACATTTTACTGAAACTTCACATTATACCACAGAATGCAATAGAAAAGGTTTTGGCTTAAAAACATTTCACACCGGGAGAACAGTCCCCCACACTGGCAGCAGAAAAACTGTAGCAAGTCTTCTACGAAATGTCTGATTTAAAGCAGCATTGATTCTCAGTGTGTCTGCCAAGAATAGTTAGCTGTGAAACGTACCTCCAGGAAAGAGAATGAATTCACTTGCTTGACAGAGTTATTTGGAACTGACCAACTGAATTTTGAAGAAAGTTTAGCAAAGACAATAATCTTAGTTTTGCATGAATTAAAGTTGAGCTAATATATCTGTTTGTAGCTATATACTAAGACTGACTGCCTCTGGGGAACGCTTCTGGTTTATGATAATAACATTTTGTTATTGGCATAAAGGTGAACACTTATCTTCCCACTTTTCTGTTGTAAAAGGGCATACTCAAGACTCACATAAAAATTATCAGCTTATTAAAAGTGTGTGATAAAGAGAAGATGGGCTTCGGGTGATTAAATAAAATAATGTTATAGAAAGCACCTGTCAAGATATGTTCCCTTCCTCAAACAACCCCCAGGAAAACAATGTTTGCTGAATCTAAATTTATTTCTACCAAATGCAGGTAAAGCTTTGGAGTTGGACAGACTAGGATTCAATTAAACGCTGCTGTATGACATTTTTCAAGTTACTTCTCTGATGTAAATATAGCTGAAAAATGGGGTTAATGTTCCAATACTTCCTCGGGTTTCTGTGAAGACCAAGTGAGAAAAATATATGAAAACCTCTATATGTGGCCTGGTGTGGTGGCTCATGCCTTTAATTCCAGCACTTTGGGAGGTCGAGGCAGGTGGATCATCTGAGGTCGGGAGTTGGAGACCAGCCTGACCAACATGGAGAAACCCCATCTCTACTAAAAGTACAAAATTACATGGCTGTGGTGGCGCCTGCCTGTAATCCCAGCTACTCGGGAGGCTGAGGCAGGAGAATCGCTTGAACCTGGGAGGCGGAGGTTGCAGTGAGCTGAGATTGTGCCATTGCACTCCAGCCTGAGCAACAAGAGCGAAACTCTGTCTCAAAAACAAAAACCAAAAAATAAAAATCCTGTATACGTTTGGCACATAGTAGATGTTTAATAAATGCTAGTTCTGTCCCTTTTATCTACCATAATATAAAATTGGCTAATGTTGTGGCAATAAATCTGAAATGTTTTGAGGAATTCCAATAACGATTCATTGCTAAACATAAAAATATTTTACCCAAGCAACTCCAATTTTGAAATTTTTCATCCACAAGCTATTAAACATTTTTGAGCACAAAAGAAGGACTAAGAATTGTATAGACATTTCTGTCTCCTTAAACAAATTCCATAGGAAAGTTTTGTTTTTCCCTTTAAATCAAGAAACAGGAAAAATTGGATTAAAAAAACCTTTTGTTTGCCTGTTAAAGTATAATTGTTATTTGAGCGGTTTGGAGTACACGACAACAAAAAATAAAAGTGTTTAAATAATGGTGCCAAAGCAGCATTTCTTTTAAATTATTTTGAATTACTAGTTGTGTACTAGTTTGGAGACCAATTATCCTTAAATTTAACGACTGAGATACTCAGGCTCTGCTCTGTAGACTGGGAACTGAGTGATTAATTATTTTTCCCAACAAGCTAATATTTTAACCCTTAGACATTGATTCTGAGAGCTTTGTTCCCCCTGTTCAACAAGCAGACATTGAAAAGATTTTTTCCTGCTTAAATATTTAACTCAGTGACTTCATTGGCTTGGCTACACTAGCTGTGTAATATTGGGAAATTCATTTAACCTTTTGGGAGAGTTTTTTTATTCCTTTATATAAGAGAATATGCCAGATTAGATGGACTTCGATGTCTCTTCTACATCTAAAACACCATGAATCTCCATAGACCAGTCTATGTGGCGAAAGAAACGGTCAGAGTTGGCCACCAGCTACTGGATTATAAAGGATATGAGCTGAAGATTGCTCCAACTTCACTCACTTTGGATGCCAGAGAGATGCTTGCCTGCCTCATTCAGATTTCAGTGCCTGCTCTGTGTCCAGCATCGGCCAGACTTTGGGATTCCAAGGCAAGCCATCTTCTATCCCTGCCATAGGCTTTGAATTTAGTTGAGAGGCACATGTAAATCTAATAATTACCCTCATGTTTGTATACAATTTAGTTGGAGCACAGAGAGAGCTTGAGGATGATACTCATAGTATCATAGTAGGTCATTGAAATGAGAGTTTCTGCATGTCAAGGAATGTCTTGTTTAGAAAATGTTCTCTTTTCAGAGCTGTTATCAGTGCTTTTAGGTCAGAACCAAGTCCACCGTGCAGAGGGAAGCCACATCTGAGACTTCTGTTCAGTATGCTGTTGTGCAACGGGTCATGCTCAGTTTCTAACGATTATCAACTGGAAACCAACTTCATTAACCACTGAGTAATTACTAACACTCTCATGAATAATGGTCAAAGTAATTTTAGAAACAGTCATTTAGCTGACACATCAAAGGTGACCAAACATGTCTCACAAAGTAATGACTCTGACCAGTGAAAAATTAAACCACATCCCTGCATCAATTTGTTTTCAGATAAGTTAATGGAGTCTCCTACAGAATAGGTTTTATTTTTACTTTTCTGGCTTCATTTATCTGACCTTGATTGGGATACAGGAAATGTTTTCAGATAAAAGATTGACAATGATGCTGTCAGTGATTCTCAAATTTGTTATTTTAGTGACCTTGTGGAAGCTCACTTTGACCCCTTAAGCTTAAAAATCACCTTTTCCCTGACAAAAGCAGTAATGACATTTTTTTTTTGCTTGCTTAACTGCTTAAGAAATTATCAGATGTTCCCACCTTAGAAGTGGTCTTGAAATATTGGGATTTGGTAGAAAAGAAGGGCGATGAGAGAAAAAGGGTATTAGAGACCAAGACATGTATAAGAGGTAGGAGGTCAACTGAAAAAGTCAGGGAAGAAAAACGTAGAGAAGATGGCAACACCACTGGTGTGGACTCGATTTAAAGGAACACAAAATAATGCTCTACAAGTTCTCTACATTTCTCAGCTGCAGTTGCAATATCCCTAAGTTATATAAATGAATTTGAAACCATAAACCAAACTCAATTATATTTTTCTATGACAATAGACTAATAATGCTAACACCATTTCCCCTGTGTGTTCCCTTATCCAGTTTAATTTTATGGCCCACCATTACATCACTAAAACACTGACAAATACTTTTATTTCTCTTGCTCACTTTCTTCTCAATTATAGTCAGCTGGCAAAACTGCAGTTCTAGGTTGGTCAAATACATCTGCCTACTCCACATCTGCACCAGAAAAGCATGCTGTCACATTTTATATTTATGACCCCCGAATTTCCCAAATGCCAATCCATAAAGCCTTGCAATTCTACTATTAGGTTGAATTCTACTCTCTAATATCATCTCTATCTTCAAACTTCCATCAGTTTTATTCCCTTCACTCTTAGCTAATATCTTGACTAACACTCATTAACAACACCAGGGAAACAAACAGAAACTTCCTCATTTTCTACCGAAATCAAAATCTATTTGAATCTGAGCCATGTTCTCTCTTTTTCCCTGTTACAATGAATAGTGTCTCAAGTTTCTATCAAAGCACAGCCCCTCCACTTGTGCCCTGGAACCTATTACCACTTCCTTCTCAATAACTGTGTTCCTAAAAGCATCACTATTCCTGCATAGTCAATTTTTCACTCTCTTTGAAATCCTCATCACTATCATACAAAATCCTTACCTTTCATCTTAAAAGTCAACCCCTGTGGCTGGAAGCACTGACACTGCCCTAGTAACGAGCACACCAGGGGCCAGATGGCAGTTTCTAAATACCATTTTCCAATAAAAGTAACCAGGGCCCTTTGGAGAACTGTTTGAACCCAGGGCTGGGTCAGGGAAGATAGAAGATGAGCATCTGTGGTGCCAGAAAGTAAGGAAATGTATACACATACAAGAATATACACAGGAAAAAAAAGAATAGAAAACAAAAAGAAGAAAAATTAAAAGAAGGCATATGAAAAGGTCATAGGAGGAAACCTGAAAGAGCTCCCAATAGCCAAAGTTAAAGCAACCTGAGCAAGAGAATAAATAAAGATAGTATTGGATTATAAACAAAAGAATACCAAGAAATACCCTGGAGTTCTTACTGATATAAATAGGTAATTAAATAACTGAATAAATTATTTGCTAACTAAATAAACAGGAGAGAAATGATATCTCTTCTTTACTTTCAAGTAAGAAATGTATAATGAAGAGGAAAGTAGAAATTAGCATTAGAATGCCACAGTCATATTTGCCCCAGACAAGATCCACCAATGGAGGTAAGCTTCATGGGCAAAAGCATAAAGAGAAAGCAGAAACTTGCGTGGTCTCAAAGTATCTCCTCCAAAACGGTTAGTAACTACAATAGGAAAAACAGTAACTCTACCACGGAGACTCATGGAAGACACCACCTTAACCAAATAATCATGGTCAACATTACCAAGAATTCATTTCAATGCCACATACCCCCTGATATGAAGCACTGAGGTAGGGTACATAGCTTCTGTGATATCCTTTTCAATAACATATACCCTCTGTCTAGCCATGAAAAAACATCAGACTAACCCAATCCAAGGAGCATTCTGCAAAATAACTGACTTGTATTCTTCAAACGTTCAAAGTCTTGAAAAGCAAGGAAAGACTGAAAACCTGTCTCAGATTCGAGGAGAGAAGGCATCATGACAACTAAACGAGATGTGGGATCCTGGGACAAGGAAAAATGCAGTAGTGAAAACACTGAATAAGTTCTGTGCTCTATTTAATAGTGTTGTACAAAGGTTGATTTTTAGTTTTGATAAATGCTCTATAGTTAAGTAAGATATTAACATAAGGGGAAGATGGGCAAAAGGAATATGGGAACTCTGTACTATTTCTGTGATTCTTTGAAAAACCTAAAATTACCTCAAAAAAATTAAAAAGCCACTATTTACTTATTTATTTATTTTGAGATGGAGTCTCACTCTGTCACCCAGGCTGGAGTGCAGTGGTACAGTCTCCGCTCACTGCAACCTCCGCATCCCGGGTTCAAGCAATTCTCCTGCCTCAGCCTCCTGAGTAGCTGGGATTACAGGCACAGGCCACCACACCTGGCTAATTTATTTTGTATTTTTAGTAGAGACGGGGTTTTACTATGTTGGTCAGGCTGGCCTTGAACTCCTGACCTCATGATCCACCTGCCTCGGCCTCCCAAAGTGCTGGGATTACAGGTGTGAGCCATCGCGCCTGGCCTTAAAAGCCACCTTTGACCTCATTTCTCCTTCTAGCTACCATGCATCAAAGTTTCTCAAAAGAGTTGTCTGTGGTTTCTGACTCCAGCTCCTCACCTTCCATTTTCCACACCACTTTAGTTAGGCTTTAGTTTCTACTCTTTCTCAAAAACTGTCACCAATCAGTTTCAGTTTCATGTTGGCAAAATGGATGGTTCCTTCTTTGTCCTAATCTACCTCCACCTCTCAGTGTACTTTACAAAGTCAGTAACTCCCTCTTCCATGAAACATTATCTTCTCTCGGCTTCCTTAATCACCACACATTCCTGATTTTCTATGTGATTTACTGTGTGCTCCTTCCCCATCTCCTAGAATGCATTTTTTCCTTCTCTGTAAATTCAGAAGTTTCAAAATTTAGTCCTTGACTGTCTTCTTTTCTCTGTAATCTCTCCATTTAATTATCCACTACTCTTGTTTTAAAAGGTGTACACAAGCTTCACCTGTGAAGACCTTTCCTCTTCCCTCTCTGAAGGTAACACTCTTCGCTTGCCTGAAGGATCCTAGTTTTCTCCTTCGCAATGAGTGCTGGATAAGGACAGAGGAGCATCTGGGTTTTCTGGCTATATCACTGGAATATCATGCACCACGCTTCCCTTTTGGTGAAAAGGGTGATTTGATCCACTAAGAATTTTATATGCCATTGCAAAATCTTAATTATGTTATCTGCCCATTCCAATTAAGACTTTCAAATGGTAAATTATGTTATTTCTTCCTGTTACTATATTTAAAATTCAAAGAAACATTTTCCTAGCTAATATATTTAGGAAGCCACACATACTAAAAGCATAAGTTAGTAGAATTCCTTAACAAATGAATTTTTATTTCAAGGATGAGATTATTTATACTTTATTCCTCAAGTGATGATTTACAGATATACTACAGACTGGACTAGATCAATTCCTTGGTGAGTTTTGCTTAAGAATTGTGGCAATATATTAACACCTTCTGCTTTCATAAGAGAAAAGAAATACTACACGGTTCATATCCCAGGCAAGGAGGTTCCATTTTAAGATTTTACTGCAAATTTCACACAACAATAATACTGAATCCGAGACATATTAGAAACAGATGTATGACAGTATTGAAACAAAATTCATTATTTTGCACTGACCTGAATGGCTACAAATTTGCTTGTATTGACGTGTGTGTAGGGTGGTGGGGGGAAGAGGAATAAGAAGCAATTAGTTTAGGCAATAGTGTTAGAATTGGACTGGTGGCACCATAAACAGGAAAAAATAGGAACAAATGCTTCAGATATATTACACTACTCCTACTATCTGAAATTAATCACCCAGATTGACCTTGGCCCCTTATTTAATTCTTAAAGAAAAATTCTGACCCACATTTTCAGGAGACAAAAACATTAAACAGGGTAGTTGATGAAGAAATAGTATAAAACTGGGGCTTCTTTAAGTACAGTTTTTAAAACACTGCCTCTGTGATTTCAAATGTCAGTTTTAGGCTCCAGCTGTTCCAAATAGGTTTGCTTTTAAGCTGCTGGCTGAACAAATGTAAAGGATAATTGTTTTGTAATGTTCTAGACTTTAAAGTAATTTCTGTATGTATTTATAATTGAATGGTCAAGTCTTGTTAATGTTATTACATATTTAAAATGTTACAGTAAAACATAATTTAGAGACCCTGAATACTTCATATCATTCAATTAGTTTGTGGTGATTATTTAGTTCCATCAAAAAACAATAGAATGCTCTTTCTATTTTACTTGAACTGCTAATAAATCAAGAATTTTAGCAAAGGCTAAAAAAAAAACCTGGTGATATTTTAACAGTTTATAGCATCCTTGTGCAAATGCATTTTAGACATTTAATTTTCTCTAACACCATTTGCAATGAATAACCGTTTCTCACTTTGTCTTTAAAATGTAAAAGAAAATACTTTTTTCTTTACATAATTAATTCCAAAAGGAACTGTTTAATATGTGTCCAAAGGAAATGTGAAAAAAAAAACCTTGATGTTCATTTATAGTAGTTCTATAACTTGCCAGAGATTCATTTATATTCAGCTATTCTGTGTACTGAGTTTACCTGACTTGCCCATTAGGAAAGGAAAGGTTGACTGTGCACTTCACATTCAGAAACTTTAGTGCTCAACGTATCAGGACTGTGATGCTGAGAACATGTTTTCAGACACTTTTGTAATGGGCCATCTGCTTTCTCTCTGTTTATCTCTCTGCCTGAGATGTTCTTCTCCTATTCACTATCACTTCCAATGTCCGTGCCTACTTTCACAACCAAAAGCATTACTTCTCTAAAACCCAGTTTAAATATTTCCTGCTTGTGGATGACTTGATTTCTTGAGTTATAATAAGTCCTTCCACTTTCTCCTAAGACTTTATAAAATTTCTTGAGGGGGAAGCATATCTACTTTTGATGTACCTTTGTAGTGTCCCAACAAATTCAATAAACAAAGACAGGCTCAGTATATATTCGATGAGGTAGGGGAGATATATATATATAAATCTATTTTTATCTCTATCTATCTATCTTAATAGATAATATTATATCTTATATATGTAATATATGGATAGATAATATTTCAGGCACCATGCTAAGCATCTCTGAAGCAGGAGGTGAATGAATCCCAGAGGTTTATGTTCAAGGACACTTGAGCACTAACTTTGAGGACATGTCCTTTTTGATGACGTATAAAGAGCAATTATTCAACAAGTACTCAGCAGTTTTTCTAACTCTGGGTGGACAATATCTGCATGGAGCATGTCACCAGCAACTGCTTTCCATGTTTGGGAACTGAGGGACCATATCTGGGAACTAAAGGAAATTAAGAAACTAATAAAGCCACAGGGTATGCCCCTCCACTCCTGTTCTATTAACATTGCTTCTATTAAGTTCTAGATTCTTGGCACAGTAAATCAGAAATGTACGTGAGGTTAACAATATAACTTGCACATTAGTCCATATATTATTTTTTGTCGATAACAACATCGGAACTTTAACCATAAATTAGGATTAAAAAGAAATACGGAAACAAAACTGGTGTTTTTCTTCACTGTTTTTTTTTTTTCTAGGAGAGCTTGTTCAAAATAAAACATTAAAAAAGTTGAAGCAGAGACAGCAGTCTCTGAATGTTGCTACTTACTTCTAATGTGTCATTAGAGTATACAGTATCTGTCACTAACACAGAATCAAATAATCAGATTTCATGGCAGAATTCCTGAGACTAATGTTTGTGTCATTTCATTTTGTAGTTGCATTGTGGGTAAGTGAAAGCCAATTTTACCAATTATATTACCATCATTTAGTACACTGCACATAAACAACTATATCGGTGTCATCAAGTAAAGTAGTTAGCATTTCATGGGTGCACACAAAGGCAAGGAATAAGCTACAATAATAAATATTATATATATATTACATACATATATATATATTCCTAGACATATATTCTTTCTGCATTATTTATTTTAAACTTGGAAAATGGAGAAAAAGATACATAAGTTGATTTAAGATTATGTTGGTCAAATAATAAACACTTAGAAGGGACAAAATAACCTATGCTGTAAATTGTCATAGTCATCCAAAGATTCTCACCATAAGATTTGGTTAATATAAACTAGCTATGTTACCAAAATGTTTTTGATGCTACCTTGCCAATGACTTATCTCTTGTCTGGATTTGATCTATGGCTTGTCTTTATGGGCAAAGGGATTATTATAGTTTTAATAGGGAGAAAAGGGAGACAGTCTCAAATGATTTTTTTCATTGTTTCTAATCAGGAAACTAGCTCTCCTTTCTACGTGTTTGATATTATTTTCAAGTCAAAAAGCTTCCAGCTTCCATTTAAAGAGCAAATGACTTAAAATTAAGCTATTTTCAGGGCAGGCATTGAAGCAATTCTGCACAAAATGTGCCTTAGTGAATAGAATTCAATCCCAGATCTCTGGAGGCAATTCAGTTGAGGTAAAATTTGAATACTTTCCCTCTCCCTTTAAATGAAGTGAGGCCTTACGGTTTCCTAATAAGAAAAGAGTTTTAAGGCATCGCCCAGAGAAGAGTTTTAGGTCACTGCCCAGAGAAGAATCATTGATTCTTCCATAATTTGCTTGATTTGCCATTTACAAATTTAGAAGGATCTGCCCATGTGACTTTTTATCATCAAATTATATTTACCTTCATCTAGAGATCCCCAAAAAAATTTTCCGGGGAAGTTCTAAAATTTAAAGTGCATTTTTTAAAAAGTTAGGTCTATTGCCTCATTTTCCTTAATTTAAAAGCTAGGGATCTCAAGTTTTGGGGCATTTCAAATTATCAATACCAATTTTTAAAATTTAAAAACATGTCTAACTATTATGTTGAACAGACAGAACTCATTGTATTTAATCAGACATCATCTTTTTTTTTTTCCTCCCAGTGTCACTTCAAATGCATTGAGGTTCGGGAAACATTCCTTGCCCCTAGTTTAGAACCTAGGCTATTCTGTGACATTTCTGCTCTTTGTTAACCTCTGAAAAGCTCACTCTAAGTGGTAAAACACAAATTTAATTCTATAACTAGAAGGCCTAGTTTCATGTCATTTTCAAAAGCTCCACATTTATCCAAAATTGCTGTTGCTTCCAGTTTCTACAGCTGTACCTGCTAAAGGGGAGGACCTATGCTGGTAAGGTGGAGAGCTGAAGGCCAGTATTCCACAGCTCCTTCTCCTCCATCTTGCAAAGAGTTCTGAGGCTTCTGTGGTTGGAGATCTAGTTGGGAGGTGGGGGTGGAGGGAAAAGAAGTTGGGAGGCTGAAAATTTCCTTCTCGACTGTAATGTCCCTGGTTGGCTCCTGCTCTCCAAGCCTGACAGGTATTTGGAGCTGATTGGCTCCCTGAAGGTTCTTCAGGGATCCCAGTCCCTGCTGGGTCTCTCACAAGAAAGTTCACTTGACTAGAGCAAATGAACTCCACTTCATCTCAGAAACCTAATGGCCTACATGTAGTTTCTTCTCTACCGAGAACTATTAACCTTTAGGAGGCATTATTTGACAGATTCTAACATGATCTTTGGATAGCTCTCTCAGGGATAGCCTGCATCTGCTCCTTGATGAACAAGTTTTGTCCTGACAAACAGTGGGAAACAGGCTGATTCAAATGTAATAGTAACTTCTCTCATTACCTGGTCTGCACTACCTGGCTTGTCCCTACCTTTTATACTTATAGGCAAGTCAGATATTAGCCCATTGTGGCCAGTGATCTCAGAGCTCATAGTTCAGGTTTTCAAAGTGGCCCAGCTGAAGGCCCTTCTCGTTTTGGAGGATGCCACAACCCACTCTACTCCTGTCTGTGGTTTTCCACTTATATCTCCTTCACTTTCTCTTCTCAGCTCCCACAATCATATTCTCTTATCCACTTAAGCTGAACTAGTTTTACCCTGCTTTTTTTGTGTGTGTGTAAATTTAATCTTGCACCATTTTAGAATTCATCATCTTTTGTGTTGTGGTGTGTCAGTCAAAATTTCTAATTTAACACCTTATTATACAATAATAATTTAAATCTTTTAACACTAGTCAATGGTAAGATTTTCCCCGTAAGAATTAAACATCAAATTGGGTCATAGATTGATACAGTGTGTTTTGTTTAGAAGTTATATCTAATAAAAATAAACATCAGTTTTCTTATTACAATGAAGAGCTCATTAAGCCTGTAGGCAATTAGTATCGAAATTAAGTGTATAATGAGTTATTTACTAATCTATATTTTATGATGTGCTTGTAAAGGTATTAATTATTTGGCTAGGTAGTGGAAGGATTAGTTGTATAACAGCATGTGGAGTTTCCCAAGGAAACTGGAATGCAAATTTTGATTAAGATGACAAAACATCAACCACATTTTTTAATTTTTAAGCAGTTGGTAGGCATAGCATATACCACTTAAATTTTATTAAAGTTGTAAACATGAAGGAAAATATCCAGAAAAAAGGAATATTCCCTTCGACTTCATAGTGGTGTTTTGATTTTTTTTATTATTTAATATTCACCAAGCAGCCATGCTGAACAAAGCTCTAATTTAATGTTTATCAAGTGCTGTGAAATACTTACAGAAAGGGGACCAATCTAGTAGTATTGTATTTAGAAATTCAGACTATCTATTCATCAAAATGTTTGGTGAACACAAATTTTTCCTTATTTGTTAATTCTTCTTTTCATTCTTTTAATGTTCGAAATGTTATGAATATTATCTTTTTCTAACCAGGTTTTTATTTAGTTTATTCATTACTGAACGTGCAAATTTTAGTAACTATTGCATTATATTGATGACCATGAGCTTATGATAAACAATTCTGAAGCCAACAGGTGCTATATGGAATCTTGGGTCTGTAAAGAGCCTTTAAAGATCATCCAATCTCATCTCCTGCCTTTAGCATTTTAGACCATCAGTGTTGTTATGGCTTTGAGGATTTTAAGAGAAATGTCTTTACCTAACCTAAACTTAAAGCTGTACCTTGTTCTTTTTAATTTTTCCTAGGCAGTTGTGGAGGTCTTCAAACAGTGCTTGTAATCAGAAGATCTGAGTTAGTCTTTCTTCTCTGTTTCTGCCTATGTGTCTTGGCTCTAGACAACTGCCCACTTAGCAGTTGTCCAAGACACCTATTCGAATCTGTTTATTTAGTTGAGGCTAAAAATACAAAATATTCAAAGAATGAAATAATTTACATTAAAACTACAGAATTGGATGTCAGTGTTAAGTATTTTATTTTTTATGTTTTCCTCCCACCCATCACCAGACTTTCTCTTCCTTGATCCTAAGAGATAACAAGCATTTCTAGAGTATTTTGTCTTCTTAAATTCCAGTTTTATTTAGCTCAGAATGAATGGTATAGTTGTAAAATGCAACATATTTAAATTATAAACAGATATAAAAATATAGATAATAAAGATTTTTGATAGCATCCCATTTTCCTTTTACCTTAAATGTACATTATAGCATTTATCTATTTCCCTTACTTTTTGAAATTCATAGCCAGTTTCATGTACTAAAATTTAATTTTTAAATAAATTTCTTACATCCAGAAGATAAGTTGCTAAATATATGGTAGTTTCTTTTGATAATCAACATGCTGTGTCCTTATGGTTACACCAATAAAAATAGGCATATATATTATGAAGTATTTATATATTACAAACAAGTTTAAAGATAGAATGAAAGCAAATGTTGTATTGTCTGTCAGTGAAATGTACCAATACACTGATCACATACTGGTCCTATCCAGATGCAACTTGAAAGATGTTAACACAAGTCTCTGATGGATGTCTCCAAGGAGACGGATGCCAGCATTAGGAAAATGATTTAAACAACTGCTAACTGGGGTCTCTCTTATTCGTGTCACAGATGGGATTGACAGAAAATATTGGTGGGTGTTTTAAAAACATGACCTAATCTTTCCCTAATTGAGGATGCTTCTAATTGTGTAATAATTGGTTTTCACAGTTGAATGTCACAGTATTAAAGACATTTGCCAATGCTCTAACACCAAGGAAAGCACATACTTTTCCTCAAATCTGTCTTTCTGTGTACATGCTCCAAATTGTATTTTATTATTATGGCCATAATTATAGGTTATATTAACTGAGTACTTAATATGTTCCATACAATGGACTAACCCTCTATATAAATTATACGCTCAGCAACTTATATAGTGCTATTATCCTTTTTGTTGTATGAATGGGGAAACTGGAGTTTAGAGAAGTTAGCTGCTCATGCTATTTTGTGTCTCACCCTTGCTTATCTGACCAAAACACTCAATATTTTAACTTCAATAATATAGAGACTACCACCCTAAAATATTGCACAGTTCCCCACTGGGGAGATTTTTAATGAATCAGTAAAAAGTACTTTAAATGATCAATAATAACAGTAGAAATATTTTAGAAATACTGGCTGACAGAGGGAGGTGTGTGTGTGTATATGTGTGTATGTAAAAATGGAAATAACTCTAGTAAGAACTGTGTAACATTTACTGAGTACTAAATAGTTTATAACACATTATCTCATTTTCTTTTCAGAGGAAAACTGTGGCATATACAGATGCTCCTCCATTTACAAGTTTATGTCCTGATAAGCCCATGATAAGTTGAAAAGGGGATATTTTAAGCAGAAATGCAGTTAATACACCTAACCTACCAAACACCATAGTTTAGCCTAGCCTACCTTAAATGTGCTCAGAAAACTTACATTAGCCTGCAGTTGGGCAAAATCATCTAACACAAAGCCTATTTTATAATAAAGTGTTGAATATCTCATGTAATTTATTAAATATTATAATGAAAGTGAAAAACCGAATAATTGTATGAGTACTTGAAGTACAGTTTCTACTGAAACCATACTTTCTCACCATTGTACAGTCAAAAAATCATAATTCAAATCATTGTAAGTCAGGAACTGTCTGTATATTCTTATCCCAGTTTCGCAGACCTGTTAACTGAGTCTTACAGAGGTGATGTAACTTGCATGCTATTGCATAGTAGTACATGGCTACAGTGGGGTTAAAACCTAGGTTTGTTTCACCACAATACTTTTGTTCTCAACCATCCTGGTGAACTATATTTCCTTAAAATAAAAAGAACATAGATCATTACAGATACGCAAAATTATCAGTAGATAGCAGAGAGAAAGATAGCTTTATAACTGCTGGCATATTAAATTCAAGAAAACTGTTTTTAAAGATAAAGCAAATTACAAATCAGCTGATGTAGACCCATGAGACTTAATTTCTTAATTTGAATTTTTTAATTTCCTATCTGTACATCAAAATGACTAGAGCTGTGCTCTATGAGGAAGTTGCCTTGTCATAGAGAATTTGTTTGAAATTTAATTCATAAAACTTTAAAGTATTTGCACAAATTACTTAAATTGGTTTCTTTATAGCCCACTATATCCTGCTATGCTTTATGGCTACATCATTAATTTGCTTAGAAATCAAAATGTAAAATCCACATCCTTTCTGCTACAGAAGACACTAAGCATATTTAATGCATAAATATTTTAAAACTTTGGTGTTTAAATACATCTTTGGCTGGGCGTGGTGGCTCACGCCTATAATCCTAGCACTTTGGGAGGCCGAGGTGGGCAGATTGCCTGAGCTCAGGAGTTCGAGACCAGCCTGGGCAACACAGTGAAACCCCATCTCTACTAAAATACAAAAAATTAGCTGGGCATAGCGGCATACACTTGTAGTCCCAGCTACTCGGGAGGCTGAGGCAGGAGAATTGCTTGAACCCAGGAGGCGGAGGTTGCAGTGAGACGAGATCACGCCACTGCACTCCAGCCTGGGCAACAAAGCGAGACTCTGTCTCCAAACAAACAAACAAATGAACAAACAAAAAATATATATTTAAGGTTGATTACAACATGGCTTAAAAATCTATAATGGATCTTGCCATTTCCTTTCTTTAATCACTATTAAAAATATTTGTTAAATAAATTAACTAAAATGTAATAAAATTCTTCTTACTTGTTTTTAACGAGGTTTTTATTTATAGTAATACAAACATTGTCTGAATTTATTGCACGTTATAAAATACCATCCTGAGTGAAAAATTTATTCCTGAGGATTAATTTGATTAACTTGTATACATGCAAAAGGAAAATCCTAAAATTAAGTGAGAGCATACATGTATGAATGAATAAGTAAATGACTGAATGAAAAAAAAAAGAGAGAGTATTTTGAGATGGAATAGAATGAAGGCAGCAGGAGAGATATTATGCAACCTGAGGTCCACTGGTGGTTTCCAAAGGAGTGTTTGTTTAATTAGAGAAGTGATAATATTTTTCTGAGTTTCAGTTCTCTCATCATTGGACAAGAGTAGTAGTGAACTACATATAACCTCTAAACTCTAGATGACCATTAAATATCTCTGATTATACAAAAAGTGAACACTGACATATTCATTCATTAAACATTTTTCTGAATCTCTACTTAGTGTCAAATATGTGCTACACATTAGGAATGTATGGATAGACATAATTCTTGCCTTACCATTCATTTCAAATGAAATTAATTCCATGGATGAGTCTGACAAAGATTATGTAAAAGTATGTTTAAGAAGTTTGATGTGATAGATGAAGGAATACTTTCCATTAAAAAAGAGCAAGTTTACAAAACAATAGCAAGCAGAAATAAAACAAGAGTAACTGACTATGAACATATGCAATTACATATTTTGAAAACGAAAAATACAATCATTAAATAAAAGGGGAAAAAATATGGGTAAAGTCTAGTTAAACCGAGCGAATGAGAAAATTAGTATACTAGAATATAGCCCTGCAATATAAATTCAGAGTGCAGCACCCAACGATTTAATCTTTAAAGTTATACTAAAAGTCAGATAAAGGACACAATTATTAGTTTGAGGGGTTTTTCAGAGATAAAACAGTGAGTTCTCACTGAAGATGATGGAGGCAATGGCAGATAAACTATCTGAATAATAGTTGAAAATTTTCAAAATGGGTATGTTCTTAAATTGAAAAGTGCTTTTCAAGCATTAGGTGAATGCTGCATGTAAACATATCAGAATGACTTTTAGGATTAAATAAATAAATAAGCAAACAAACATAAATAAATAAAGCTCTTAGATGGAAAGAGCCAACTATTTACAAAGGAATACCAATCGGATGGAGAGCAGATTCTTTCACGTGCAACAAGTGACCTTAGAAGAAAAAGATGTTTTCCTACTGCCAAGAAAACCAAGACATTTCTACCAAGCTAAACTGTTATTAGAATAAAGGCCAAATAAAGACACCCTCAGAAAATAACTAAGGTAGTCTTCCCTACAGATACTTACCAAAAAAAATAATAATAATAAATTAAAAGGTGAATTTACCGAGATGAAAAACAGACACAGAGGAAAAGATGGACTGTAAGACAAAAAGAAGGAACATACAAAATTAAACTAACTATTGACTATAAAAGGATAGGAAACTGAATGTATTGAATAAACTATTTAGAATTAGTGAAAATACAGCCATAATGACAATGAATAATTGGATTAGGCTCACATTTAAAATGAGAGATTATGAGAATGGACAAATAAATGAGATATCATTCCACACTTACTGCTTAGAAAATATTTATCTAAAAACAAAATTACATGAAAATATTAAAGGTAATTAAAAAGATTTACTAGGCAAATACTAGTAACTATGACAATGACCCTTAAGATGTAGCAGTGTGAAACTCAGTAAATACAGAATTTAAGCAAAAAGCATCAACTGGCATAAAAGCACATACTACATATGAACAAAAGAAAATATTCAAAAGGCACAGATAATCATGAGCTTATTTCTAACAATGTAGCCTAATATACAAAGATGAGAGGAGAGAGAGAGAGCACGCATGAAAGGGAAGCAGAATCCAGCAGAATTTGACAAAGCAATTGACAAGTTCACAATGATAGTGTCAGAAACTGATAAATCAAGCATACACAAAAGATAGTAAACATACAGATTTAAACAACAAACCTGTTTTAACACCTAAAGAGATAGACATAGATATATACTGTGTGTGTTTATAAAAATACTGCAAACAATAAAGTAAATATGTATACTTTTAAAAGTATAAATAAAACATTTACTAAAGCAAGCAACAGAGTTCCAGGAAAAAGGAAAACAACTTGTGGTGCTATAACTGGGGACACTAACAACCAGCTTTCACCAAGGAGAGGACAATAATGACTTTGTGGAAGTTTATTACTTAAAATCAATTTCATCACATGTAGAACAAGCTAAGTTCAGGGTCATCAGATTAACTCTCCAGCTTCTTGCTGTGATTTGAGGAACTTTAATTTCCTCTTCCACCATTCTAATTCTCAGTTTAGGAGAATTTTCCAATTTTTCTTCTGAGATATGGTTTGTTAACAGGAGTGAAGCAGCTGTGAGCTCATAGAGTTCATGCCTGGGGAAGAGAAACTGCATGGTGTCTTTGAAGACGATGGTAGAAAAGTGGACACCTACTGGCTTTTTGCCCCCATTTTCTAGGAACTGCTTCTTCCCTTCCACGTGGTCACAGGGTGGCAGGCAGCTGTGTTTACATTAGTTGGGTTGGGTTATCCATGTTGTTAAAGCTAGTCCATACAACTTTTTCCCATAAAGCTGAAATTTCACATAAGCAAATCTTGCTCCAGATTGCTGGCTGTGTCGTGTGGACTTTTGCTGTGAGTCATGCTTATTTGCTTTTTGTTTCACATGTTTTGCCTTATTGTTTATTTGTTTGTTTGCCACATGAACCCCACAGAATGGAAGGCATTTCTTAGAGTCAAAGAGAGAAAAAACTGAAACTCAAAATCCGTTGAGAAGCAGCAAAGAAGCGTGAGAGAGGTTCTGATCATCTGTAATTCCAGTCTGTGTTTGAAGCCTAGCAGCCTCTAGCCCTTGAAGTGCATGAAACACCCCTGCATCCTTACGATAAATTCTCCTTTTGGGTTAGCTAGCTCATGAATTTTTCTGTTAGTAGCAATTGGGCGAGTCTTAAGTAATTCAGGCAAGGGAATTACTTAAGTAATTCAGGCAAGGGAAGGGGATTGCCCTGCTTGGAAGGGGTCAGGAGGTAGCAAAGACTGAGGGCATGAGACCCCCTAGAACATCTGTGGAAAATCCCTATGCAGGGTTTGGTTATCCAGTGGACAACAAGAGGTCATGGAGGAAGCTTAATATGAGACCAGATAGAGGTTCTGGGGAGGACATAGGAGGCGATTATTTCTACTTTAGGAGTTTTGCCTAGGGCTGGCCTGCTGAAGGGGTAAACAAATAAATAAATCATACTCAATAAAGACTCAGTTGCAAAGAGCTTCAGGGCAGAAAATAGTTAAGAAGCCTTGCTAAAGAGAAACCATTTCATGTCTACATTTTTACAATTCTTTCTCATTTCTCCTGTTATGTGTTTCTTGTGTTCAATAGTCATTACTTGGGCGTTTGAATTTTTTGAGCGATTTCTAGTTCAGTAGTTATTTTCTGCTTGTAAAGTCCAGGGATGGCCTCTTCTGCGTGGCTCCACGGAAGGGCAGTCTCCGCAGGCCTGCTCTCTGACCTGCCATGGCTAGCTGCCCATCGGCAGCAGATTGCTCATCGGCATCCCATACCTTATCACGAAAAGTAGAATAATGATTCATTTCATTCTGAAGCCAGAACTGTTGCTTCACGCCTGAGGGAAGCAGTGAGGAGGAAGGGAGGGAATTCACAGGTCTGTCTTCCTGAACTGCTCCTGCTCCCTCTTTACAAGGTCAGAAAAAGAGAGAAACTTACAGGCTGCTGTCAGTGCAGTGAGTTGAGCTCCAGGCATCTCTCAGCAAAAATTGAACTTTCATCAGAATCAAACTTACATGGCAATTATTTCAGGTCACTGGTGCTATCATTGTACTTTTCAGTGTAAACAGACACATGGAAGTGACAGTAAGTCTAATGAAGTATTGGTTTTGGAGCATTTAAATGGCAAAAAAATCCAGTATTTCTTAAGGGCAACCTGGCAATTCATGCACTGTAATTTCAAAAGCCTTCTAATTAAAGGAAGTCGTTGGCTTTGTTTACTCTTTCATCCCAATAAACAATTCAGAGATTCCACACCATAGCTGACATTCTATAACATAATTGTCATGCTTTAAAGGCCAGTGGTGTAATACTGAAAAAGAAAACTACTGATTTGAGTGCCAGACTACAAATAAACTAGTAAATTGAACTACAAATTTAAAAATTCAATGTGACTTAATTAGTGAGCCAATCAACCAGTCTTTTTCTCAAAGCCTCTTGTGAACTCAGCAATGTGCTAACTACTGTCCTAGATAAAAAAATAGATTGAATATGATCCTTGCCTTAAGGCAGCTTAAAATCTAATTGGAAAGATACAATAAGTGTAGTTGGCCCTCCTTATCCATGGCTTCCACATCTATGGGTGCAATCAACTGTGGATTGAAAATAGAAAAAAAAATATGGTTGCATCTGTATTGAATGCGCACAGACTTTTTCTTGCCATTATTCCATAAAGAAGATAGTATGACAATTATTTTTATAGCATTTACATTGTATTATGTATTATAACCTATCTAGAAATGATTTAAACTATGCAGGAGGATATATGAAGGTTATACGCAAATACTATACCATTTTATATAAGGGACTTGAGCATTTATAGATTTTGTATTTATGAGGGTCCTGGAACCAATCTCCCACAGATGCCAAGGGACAACTGTACATGTAAAGTCTTAGAAAAAAAAATTTAAAAACAGACCTTATGGTCAGATTTTCAAGTGCATAAGTGTTGAGAGATATTAATGTGGGTTGGAAAAGAGAAAGCTTCATGAAGGAGTTAGCCATAAAAAGAGAGGCCAAATGAAACAAGCTAAGGAAAGAAGGCAGAAGACTCTGGGCAGAAGTAATAAGATCAATGAAGTCCAAGCACCATTCTTACATATCCCAAAGTTTGCTTCCTTGGATGAAACACTAAAGTATTCTGAAATTCGAACCGACTATCTGTCATACTCAAACATACATATCAACTTTTGGTATCATGTGCATTTAGTAACCAGCATTGATCCCCACAAGGCGTTGGGCTAGTTTCAACTTAAAAAATTTGTTATAGAAAACAAAACTACTAAGCTTGGCATGGTGGCTCACACCTGTAATTCCAGCACTTTGGGAGGCCAAGGCAGGCAGATCACTTGAGGCCAGGAGTTCAAGACCAGTCTGGCCAACATGGCAAAACCTTGTCTCTACTAAAAATACAACAATTAGCTGGTTGTGGTGGTGCACTCCTGTAATCTCAGCTACTCAAGAGGCTGAGGCATAAGCAAAGCTTGAGCCTGGAAGGCAGAAGTTCACTGAGCCAAAATTGTGTCACTGCACTCCAGTCTGGGCAACAGAATGAGACTCTGTCCCCCAATGCCCCCCAAAAAAGGAAAAAAAAAAAGAAAACAAAACTACTCATACACTGTGGAGGCACTAGCAGTCATACATTTAAGTTATAATGGGTCATGTGACAGATTAAATATTTGTGTCCCTTCCAAATTCATACGTTGAAATCCTAACCTCTAATTTGATGGCATCAGGAAGTGGATCTTTGGGAGGTGATCAGGTCATGATGGTGAAATCCTCATGAATGGGAGTAGTGCCTTTATAAAGGAGACTCCAGAGAGCCTCTCAGTCCTTCATACGTGTGAGGACACAGAGGGAAGATGGTTGTCTATGAACTTGTAATAGGCCCTTCACTAGACCAGATCTGCGGGGACTTTCATGTTGGACTTCTCAGCTTCCCAAACTGTGGGAAATAAAGGTTTGTTACTTAGGCCACTCATTCCATAGTAATTTGTTAGAGCAGCCTAAGCATACCTAGACAACCCATAAATATAGGAATGAACATCTGTATGCTGAATGTTGGGCTAAGTACTTCATGTATAATATTTATTCTTCACATTCTGAGTTAGGTACTCTTATTAGATCCACTTGCAGATAAAGATCCTGAGATATTTATGTGTCATATAGACAGAGAGGTGGAAGAGGACATAAATCCTGCCCGTCATCTCCCCTGCCCCAAGGAAGGATTATCAATCAGCAGGATTTTTTTTTTTTTTTTTTTTGAGACAGAGTCTTGCTCTGTCACCCAGGCTGGAGTGCAGTGGTGCAATCTCGGCTCACTGCTAGCTCCACCTCCCGGGTTCACGCCATTCTCCTGCCTCAGCCTCCCCAGTAGCTGGGACTACAGGGGCCCACCACCATGCCCGGCTAATTTTTTTGTATTTTTAGTACAGACGGGGTTTCACCGTGTTAGTCAGGATGGTCTCGATCTCCAAGCAGCAGGAATTTTTAAATTACCATTTTTCTGGGGTGATGTGAGAATATGGCAGAGTAGGAGGCTCCTGCCTCTTCCTTTTATCACAGACACACCAAGTAAACGTGGTAACTACTGTCCTAGATAAAAAATAGTAGATCAGTTTCTCCAAGAGAAAGCTAGAAACCAACTGAAATCCTCCTACACAACAAACAACCTAGAAAACACCTACATCAAAACGGGTAGGAAAATTGGAGATGCACTCAGACACTAACCCCACCCTGAGCACAGCGCCTCATCACCAGGAAGCAAACCCAGCTCCTATCTTTTTCCTGAAGAGTAAGGGGCTACTCTTATACACATATAGTTCCCAACTTTTCCAGACTCTACTGGAGAGCTTGGCTCTTAAAACACCCAGGTGAGGAACAGCAGGAACACAGCATCAGAGGATTTCCCCCAAGCACAAAAAACAAAGAGGACGTTGGAACCATGGGAGCATTCCCAGCAGCTGTAGCTCCCAGGATCAGCCTAGTCTCCAACTTACAGGAAAGGTTTGGCTGCAAGCTTTTCCAGCAGTTTCCTGTAGTTCTGGCCTCTGACGAGCCAGCATCTGGGAGTCTACATGGAAAATAACGAATTAGCCTCCTGGAGCCTAAATAGGCGGGACCATACTACCCATTCCTTCTTCCCTGGCTTGCTCCTGTGACAATCCCAGCTTTGTCATCTCTTCATGGAAAGAGGTTGAAGGTCTCTGTCAATAAGAGTAGACTGGATGGTACTTCCCCCACTGTCTTCCTGGCTTGCTCTGGATATGAGATGAGATAAATTTCTGCAATCTTTCACTAGGGGGAGGTTGGGGGACCTCTCTGTGCCTGAAAAGGAGAGGGGCACTCCCTGCATCTTCTTTCACAGCTTGCTTCAGCCATAATTCCAGAAAAGAAGCCTCCCCTTGCAAGAAGGGTATGAGACTTTGCTTGCTTGAACAGGAGAGTGAACACTCCCTATGCCTTCCTCCCTAGCTTGCTTCAGTGTTAACTCCACATTGTAAGTCTGTCCCTGCTAACAGGGTGTAAAAGTTCTGCTTTCTAGAACGAGAGAGTAGGCACTCCCTGCACCTTCTTCCACGGCTTGTTCCAGCAATAAATCTAGATCTGTACATTCTCCCTGGAAGCAGTTTCTGCACACATCAAGCACCCCAACGTTTACATCCTTCACCTGAGGGACTGGCTACTAAATCAGACAGCTCTGGGTGTAGACTGAGCCCTGCACTCCTGAGTCTTCTAGACCAGAGACTTTAAAAGTGACTTATAGGCCAGGCTGGGTGGTTCACGCCTGTAACCCCAGCACTTTGGGAGGACAAGGCAGGTGTATTGCCTGAGGCCAGGAGTTCAACAACAGCTTTGCCAACATGGTGAAACCCCGTCTGTACAAAAAATACAAAAATTAGCTGGGCATGGTGGCGCATGCCTGTAGTCCCAGCTAATTGGAAGGCCAAGGCACGAGAATCGCTTGAACCAGGGAGGCGGAGGTGGCCATGGAGATCATACCACTGCACTCCAGCCTGCGCAACAGAGTGAGACTCCGTCTTGGAAAAAAACAGAAAGAAAGAAAAAATGACTTAAAAACTTTCAAATATTCACTGCCTATCTCCCCAAGTTCAAAGTGAGCTCAAATTCTTCCAGAAAAATTGAAAAAGAGAGAATACTTCCAAATTCATTTTTACAAGGCCAGCATTACTCTGATATCAAAGTCAGGCAAGAACACTACAAAAAAGGAAAACACAGAACAATATCCTTGATGAATACAGATGTAAAAAATCTCAACAAAACATTACCAAACTGAATTAAATAGTACATTAAAATGATTATTCACTATGATCAAGTATGATTTGCATCCACCCCATGGATGCAAAGAGGGTTAGGCCAAGAGGCACATTTTTCAACAAGGAATAAGTTTTGGTTAGAAAAGGTCTAACCAAAAAAAAAGTCTGTTTTGAGGCCTAGTTTGCATCTTAGTCTGCTCAGGCTTTCATAACAAAATACTACAGACTGGGTGGCTTAAGCAACAAACATTTATTTCTCACAGTTCTAGAGACTGGAAGGCTGAGAACAGAGTACCAGCATGGTCAGGTTCTAATGAGGTTCCTCTTCTGAGTCACAGGCTGCTGACTTTTCTTTGTATCATGTGGTGGTGAATTTTATGTGTCAGTTTGACTAGATTAAGGGATATCCAGATAGCTGGTAAATCATTATATCTGGATATGTCTATGGGGGTATTTATGGAAGAGATTAGCTTTGGACTGAGTAAAGAAAATCTGCCTGTACCAACGTGGACAGCCATCATCCAATCCACTGAGGGCCCAGATAGAACAAAAAGATGGAAGAAGGGCTAATTCATTCTTTCTTCTGGAGCTAGGACATTCATTTTCTTCGACCCTTCGATGAAGAGTTCATGGTTCTTGGAGCTTTGGACTCTAAAAATTATAACAGCGACCTGCCCTACCCCCACCAATCCCTATTCTCAGACTTCGGTGTTAAACTAGGAGTTATACGGCAGCTCCCACCATTTTCAGGCCTTCAAACTAAGACTAAATTACACCTATCAGATTTTCTGGGTCTCCAGCTTACAGAGAGTAAATGGTGGGACTTGACCTTCATAACCAAATAAGCAATTTCCCATAATAGCTCTCCTTATATGTCTACACACAGTTGACCCTTGCACAGCTCGGTTTTGAATGATTTGGGTCCATTTATGTGCAGACTTTTTTCAGTAAGAGTTCCATTGAATGTCCCTACCTCTCCTGCCTCCCATTCTACCTGCTCTACCCCTTCTGCCTCTGCCACCCTGAGACAGGAAGACCACCTCCTTTTCCTCCTCCGTCTCAACCTAATCGATGTGAAGATGACAAGGATGAAGGCCTTTATGGTGATTCACTTCCACTTAGCGAATAGTAAATATATTTTCTCTTCTTTATGATTTTCTTAATAATGTTGGCTTTTCTCTGGATTACTTTATTGTAAGCAAACAGTATATAACACATATAGAAAATATGCATTAACTGACTGTTTATATTGTCTGTAAGGTTCCTGGTCATCAGTAGGCTATTAGTAGTTAAGTTTCTGGGGAAGTTAAAAGTTATATGTGGATTTTTGACAGTGCAGGGCCCCTGCATTGTTCAAGGGTCAACTGTGTATATCCTATTGGTTCTGGTTCTCTGAAGAACTGTCACTAATACATATCTTCACATGGGGAAAAGAAAACTAGCTAGCTCTCTGGCCTCTTCTTATGAGAGGACTATTCCCATTCTTCAGTGATTATGACTTAATTACCTCCGTCATGACCAATTACTCCCAAATGTCCATCACATTTGGATTACAGTTTCAACGTATGCATTTTGGAGGGATACAAACATTCAGCCCATTATAATTTGATAAGAGTTGGCACAGAGACTCTTTGTCTCTAATGGTTACATGAGTGGAAAAAATTATAACATGAGTAGTAAAAGTAAGAAAGTAAGAGAATTATGAAATTCAAGAGTAGAAAACATCTGCTATTCTTGACTAGGCCTCATCCTGTCCTCCTCCTTTTTCTGCAAAGACCACCACAGCTCCCTCTTGGGAACCACCTTCTCCTAAGCCTCGGGCCAGGTGATTCTGGGCTGCTGACCAGTAGTGTGCATGTGATCCGACCTGGCCAAAGCAGGGTTTTCCTTCCTTCAGACCACAATGCTTAGTCGAGGAGACCGAACCACCATGCAAAGTGGACTGAGTACTGGACTAAAGGGAAATGAAATATAACTCTAGTCACCCCAATGAGACTAAATTATAAGGGTTTTCTGTGACTACTGAGAAAGAGAAGCTGGTTTTTGTTCGCTGGGTTATTGAGCTGATCAACTGAAGAGAAAATCTGCCTAAGTGAAGCCAATGCACAAACAGAAAGAGAAGGGAAGTCTTGGTGACATTGTTTAGGCCCAGCCTACATCAGGGTGGGCCCCGTACCTTTTAGTAACGTTATCATTCATTCTATCCCCTGCCCCTACTTTTGTTTGGTTGCTCATCTTAGTTTGAGTGAGGTTTCTGTTCTGTATACATCAATGTCAAATGTTAAGGTGGAAGATGATGCTAGAAACTAATGTTAGTAAAAGACATAAGAAATTATTTCTTTACCTGGAAGGACTACATAATTGACTATTGTCATGATATTTATATTGAGTCAAAGAAAATTATAATGTTATATTGAAACATGCCTCAAGCCACATGTTTTAGTATAGAGGGGGATATGTTCTCTGGGTTGTCTAGACCTTAAAATTCAAAGAAGCTGTAGCTTTATTCCTAAATAAATGTTTCTAACTGAAACCTTGATTTCAGGAGTCCCTTCTAGTTGTAAAATTCTAAGAGTATGCAATCTTAGTTTATCCTTTATGGCATCTCTTAATTGCTTTAAAAATAATCTTATCTGGCTTTGTTGATTTTCATTGCTAGGTTCTGCATATTGAAAATCAGTTTATCTTTTCACTTGTTTAAGTAATAGGTACAGTTGAAATGATATGTTTTAAAATATATTGTTTCACTTTAAGGATTTTTACATACTTGTTTTTTCTTTAAAGATGCAGCAGTGTTATTAATTCTCCCCAAATTAGATAGTTTCATATTGCTCCAAGCACTGATTCTGAAGAAAATTGCTACACCAAGGACTTGATCATATTTCTCTATATGTGGTAATCTCAGTTTTTGAAACTATTATAAGCTAGTTTTTTGTAGAACAATGAGCTAAAATGATCCAATGACAGTCAATTATCTTCAAGGAACTGCATTAGGTGGGCAAATACTTAACACATTTCTGCAAGCTGTCAAACCTCTTGTGAATGTTTACTTAAAAAGACAAAACACTGCACTACAGTATGTGACCCACTGGTTAATAAAAACAGAAAATATGTCAATCAGCATAAATAAGAGAACCTTAGGGCAAAACAAAGTGCTGAAGTTAAATGGAGAACATAATGTTTTCCAAGGCAGAAACTAGATTCCTTTGATTCTCATTTCTTACAGCTTTTGAATACATCTTTCTGTTTCAATCCCATTGGTACTCCCTTAGTTTGCGACCAGCATCTCTCTCTAGGTTGCCTTAATAGCCTCTTAAATGGATCCCACTACTCCAGTCTTTATTGCCTCCAAGTGAATCTCACATTGCTGCTGATCTTCCACAGCACAGAGCTAATCATATCACCAAGGACCTTCAGATAGAGTTTCAACTCCTTTGTATGGAATGCAAGGTATTAATCATCTGCTGGTTCCTGAGTCCTCCAACTTCATTATTTGCCACTCTCTGCCTTATGTTCTAGGTGCCAAGTATACCAAAGTAATTGTGAAGTTATCTAACTAGACTTCTTATATTTGCACATGCTCTTCTCTCTTTCTAGAATGCCTTTTCAACTCCCTTCACCTATGCAACCTCCACTTATCCTGTATGACCCAAATTTGGGTCACACAGGCAAATTTCCACCGACTCTGCAAATTTCCACTGACTCAGACCAGGAGATTTGCATCCAAGTGTCCCAATAGCTCTCTATTCACCTCAGTCTAACATTTATCATGCTTTATCATGTTGCTTACTTGGTTGTCTCTCCCATATAAGCACATGACTCTATATTATGTGAGTTATTGTAGGTGCTCAACCATTAGCAAAATTTATGCATAAATGAATAATTTGATCTTACCAAGTTTTTCACAGAGCAGATGAATGCAGAATTCATCACTTTGACCCCCACAATAAGAAAGTGTGTAACATGAGACTAAAGTCAAGAACAAATTCTAATATTAATGATACACGTTCAGAAATATTTATTATTTAGAGATGTTCAGAAAAAGTATAGTGTGTTTTGGAAAGTAGAACTAGTAACACTTCAGTTATTTCAGAGCAGTTGTTTTGAACAGGGCTTAAAATAAAAACGTAATGGCAGGGGGTGAAATAATATTTTTCCTGACATTCTTAAATGTTATGTGGTGTTTTGCCAGAGTAAGCACAAAGGAACAATAATCCAAGTTACGGAGTATATATATCTTTGTGGCTTGTTATTCCCTTATTCCATAGGCACCATATTGACTATGCATCCAGTGATTTTGTAAACACAAGACTTGCATTGATTTGCCTCTTTGCTCTAATTACATCACAGTGGGGGTTATACAGTGGATCACTCTGAGTTGGGTACTTTTTCAATAAGAAGGTATGGTATGGTGTTGGTTTCCAGGTTTCTAGGTAACATAGTAGTTAAGTACTGTGGTACTTAAGACACAAAGTACACAAAACCTATTCCTACAATAGCTGAGGCTAATAAGGAAAAAAAATGATTCAGACCAGAAAGCTGGTCCTGGAGATAGATCTTTTTGGCTCTTGTATTGGCAGTTTATTACTATATATTAACATATAAACTCATCACATACACTACCCCACTACTCCCACTGCCCTGATAGTGATGTAAAAAAAATAACACTAGCTTCGACATTTCTTTGACTCATAAATAATGTTTGGGATTTGGGACTATGCCTTTTACAAGATGGTGCTCAATAAAAACTCACTAGTTAAGAGAGTTATAATTTCTGGTCATTTTCACTTGCAGCTTCCTCCTGGTTCCCTGGGCTCAAAAATTATGGATTCATTTTCTTTCTTTACAGTTCTCTTTTCTCTGAGTCCATGAGAGATAACCCATGATTAAGTTCTATTATCTTTTTTTCAGGATGATTGTCTCTGAGATACATATCTTTCTATCTGAGGGTGGGGGTTGGCCCTCTTATACCCCAGTAGCAATTAACATGTGGAAGACCTGGAAGCATTCACCATTTTCATTTGGCAGAAAGAAATAACCTCATGTGGGCTTCAATTTACCCAGTACATTTTTTAACCTGTAAGATATATTTAACCCATGTAGTTGCTATGTGGAAGGCTTTTTAAGTGCTTCTTCTTGCCTACCACATTAACTCCAAACTCCTTATCCATCCTATATGTGGCCAGCTGCTATTCTCCCCACCTCCTGCCCTGCTAAATGCACTTGCCTTCTGTACCTCTACCTCTTTCTTAGAACCACTCCTCTATTCCAGCTTCTTTTGTTGATCTCATTCATATTGCTTGCCATGTCTTGCTTTTGCACCTTTATATATATGATCATTTCTTCTATCTAGAAGATTCCCATTGCATATTCTACTTCATATGCATTGCCCTCCTCAAAATTTGAATTGAAATTTACCTCTCAGGTAAGCCTGATCCATCTCATCATCAATATACATTTTTTAACTACTGTATCTCTGCACGCTGTAAACATGCTGGAATTTATTTTGTGCTATGTTGATATGCACTTGCTGATATGAAGCTTGGTAAGTTTTCTTAAGGCCATTTTCTGTTTGCTTATTTTATCTTCTCAATATGTCTTTTTTAAAAGGCTTCTCAGGTTTGGAATCACAGATTCTACGTCCTTAACATTTTTTCATTCTCAGAACACTTCCAATAATGTGGTGCTTTCTAAAGCCCTCACTCTTAATCCTGTCTTTTCTACATATGTAATTTAATAGTATAAAACAAAACAACAATACAATTCTGAATTATATTCATTCTATAACTCTACATTGTTGTGAAGAAATTAAAATTAATCTCTATTTATACATTATTATGACAGGGGATAATACCATAATCCATTGTTTATAAAATGGGATAATGTAAAGTAAAACGTCCTGTCCCATATAAGTTTTTTTCCATCATTGCTTCTGCCCCTTACTAAGTTATTATGACTTATGAATTTGTTAGAATCATTAAATTAAAAGTTATATAAAGAGCTAATTTCACATTCTAGCTAGATTCTAGTCTTGCTGTCTTCATTACGTTACATGAAAATCGCAAGTACTGCACTCATAAAACTTTTCTACCGTTAATAATAGATACAAATTTTATCAATACCTCATTTGGTATTGCTTTTACATCATCTAAGAAAAAAAAAGGTTAAACTCCCGCTGCCTATATAAGATAGACAGTTATAATTAAAAACTGAATTTGGAAAAAACAATTCTAAGTCCAAAGAGAGACACACATACAGTGCACAGGTCTCGTTGGTGACCTTTCATATTAATATACTCCCTTCAAATCTTTTTTCCTATCTCTCCCTAAGCTATTGTCTCAGTTTCTGTCAACGGTTCACTGAGCTACAAAAGACACCCACAGAGCTAAAAAGAAGCTTGGCTTTTTTCTTCAGAAACCAATTGTATCGCTTTACTGCAGTTCTTATCTTCCCAGTGTAGAAAATTGTGCATTCCATGCTGAGGAATCTTCCCTGGCTGTACGGGTGTTCAGCAGTGCCATCTTGTTTCCGTGGGGATTTTATCTGACATCTACATATACGGAAGGTATATCTAGTTCCTTTACATCTTACACCTACAGACCACTTGTAATAATGTCAAAATTGCCTATGGTAATCAGTTTTATGTGAAAAAAGCATATTGATTCAAAAGCACAGAGAACTATCTTGATAAAAGGGATATGTTAGAAGTTAGCGAGTTAGACAAGCACATGCAAATTCAAAAAATTGAAACAGGAGTCTACTTTTGTCACCAGCTGGCTCTGTCAGTTTGGGATATTTCCTTGAATTTTTATCATCTAAATTTATTCATCAGACAAGGGGCTAACAACATATGCCCTACTTTTTTCTTAAGGGTTTTCTGGAGTGCAAATGCAACAATGCATGTGAAAATATTTGGAAAACATATATTAGTAGCTAGAAACAAGTATGGATGGTAAAAATTAAATAAAAAGACTATGAACATGTTACTATTCTCATTATTTTTGTTAAAATAACAATAAAGTTTGATATGCTAAGCAAACTGAAGGTATAGTAAATGAATTACATAAGGTTAATATTTAGCAACTATATATTCAGCATATTTAGTAATAGTTAGCAACTATATAATGATAGCACTTGATAAATAAATTTGCAAGATGAGGAAAGGACTATTTTTATTTGCAAATGAACAATAAACATACTATAACATATAAACAAATTTGTGCATTTCTTATAAATTTGTGTTTGTTTGCCAGAAAAATAATTTCAAATTTATTTTTTAATAGCCTAGTCACTGAGTAACTAATGCCTGTTGATCTTGTTTCATCCAGATCAATACAACATTGTCAAGACAGACTCAGTTCTTCCACATACAACATCTGAAAAAGTAGTAATTTCTTAGTGGAAATACTAAGCTCTTTTAAATTGGTAGTCATTTCCAGGACATTCTAATCAAAGCATGCCATTCTTAGACTTTCAATAGAGTTCTATTCACTCACTTATCCCCTACTGATGTGTTCTGAAGCTGAGAAACTAATCCATTGGTAGTAACCAGAGTATTGTTTCTGGCATACAATACTATAGGTATATTAAAATAGGATATTTTAAATATAGGTAATAAATGAAGATTTGTGTCTTCTTTGAAGACCTTCTGATTGAGATAAGAAGGTCTCCATAGTCCATGCTTAAAACCTTAGGAGCATTGTTCCTTCTCCTCCTCTCCTTTAGCTTTCTGGGTCTTTGTTAGTTGGCCAGGCTTCATGAAGAGAGGACAGAGCATAGTTTCCCCTCTCTACATATATCCCTTTGGTAGTCTCCCTTTCATACGTCAAAATGATAAAGTTTTATTAAAGTTTTTAATTTTGCCAAGATCTAACTCACCATAAGTAATTTTCATTGATAAAGTGATAAGATGCCATTGTGTCTGTGATATTTATTTCATTTCTCTCCTACTTTCCATTGTGATTCACTTTTGATTTTTCTCGGTGAATCCTTGGGGAAAAGTGCGAAAATGGCATCTTACACAGAAAATTCTGATAAGTATAGCCACACTCAACATGGCTCCTCCCAAGGATAATTTGCCGAAAAATCATGGCCTAAGGAATGAGAACAAAGGAGTATAGTGATAAACATCCTCGTATACCAGACAATATGGAAGGACAAATTCCATTCATTTTGATGAGGCAGGTAAAACATATGAACATAATTCTGAACTCATGGTATAGAAGCTGGCTATCTTAACAAATAAGAGGATTCGGGAAATGAATAGTTAGATAGAAAAAAAATTCAGTTAAAGATCTTTTTTCTTTTTTTTTTTTTGAGACGGAGTCTCGCTCTGTCGCCCAGGCGGGAGTGCTGTGGCGCGATCTCGGCTCACTGCAAGCTCCGCCTCCCGGGTTCACGCCATTCTCCTGCCTCAGCCTCCCAAGTAGCTGGGACTACAGGCGCCCGCCACTACGCCCGGCTAATTTTTTGTATTTTTAGTAGAGACGGGGTTTCACCGTTTTAGCCGGGATGGTCTCGATCTCCTGACCTCGTGATCCGCCCGCCTCGGCCTCCCAAAGTGCTGGGATTACAGGCGTGAGCCACCGCGCCCGGCCAAAGATCTTTTTTTCTTAACCTACAAAAAAACCTCATAAAACATATATACCCTTTCTCCCCTGAAATGTAACATAGGGTTTTATCAATATAGATTTTCCATCTTGATTTAAGTGGAAGCATCTATTTTAAAGTGATGGACTAAAAGAAAACTTGGAACGTGGATCAACTCTAGAGTCCTATGGAAATGCAAACTCATATATAAGATAAAATCTGTGGACAGTTTGTGTCTTCCTAGTTTTCTATTTGCAATAGCAAATAAGAGGAAACCACAGGTTTTCTGTCACGTAAGTGGGTGACACAATAAGCTGACAAGAAAATCACAGTACCCAGCTGGAGAATAAGCTCAATGGCAACATCCATTCACTGAGGCATTTTATATTTATTTCATACACAGCCTCATCTAAAACTAATTATTGATACATCTACTCGTGAAGGAATGCTCACCACTATAATTTCACCAAATTCTCCTATAAGGAGTCCTATAAGAATTACACCAAATATCATGATGTGTATAACGAAGAGTGTGTACATGATTGAGTGGTAATATATTCTATATTATATGAAATACATGCTGAATAGTAACATATTCTATATTATATGAAAGCAGTTTTACATGAACATAGCATCATTCTTATCAGAGAATAGAATATAACTTTACAGATATATGTTAGTGGCTTTATGTGCCGAACCCTGGTCCAGAAAATTTTATTTAATAGATTATAGCAATTCTACAAAACAATCCATTATTCCAGATAAAACCATCACAAGCAAGTGAATTGTAAGACAGAGGGGGAAATACAGAGAGTAGAAGGCCAAGAAGCAGTTCAAATACCCGGTAGGGTTAGTACTGAGGATGGTTCACTAAGCAAGATACATTTTCATTTTCTATTAGTGATTAGGAAACTAAGCATAAGATGGATCATTAAAGAGGGTGGAAATGATTTTAAGGATAGGAAAATATATATCCATGCACCGAGACATAAACAGACATATCTAAAAAATTTATTTGCTGAGAAAGGGTGTTTTATCTGTATGGAGTTTTTAGTATTACAGATATACTGTGTCCATAATTCACTCATTACAACTGAACACATCAAGGGAGTAATAGAGCACATGCCCCAAATATTTTACCTGTTCTTGATTTCAGGGTTATAAGAGTAAACTCATACCATCAATTACGCATGAAAAGAATCGATTATTCTTGCAACCTAAAGTATATTGCAGAAATGAAAATTGTACTTATAGAGAAGAGAAATAAAGCATAAAACATAGAAAATTCTAACAGTAGAGCACCTAGCACAGTATCCAGCATTCACGTATTTGTCCCTGAAAAGATATTTACTAATTATATACTGTATTTCAGACACTGTGAGAAATACAAGGCTAGATGACACAGGAACATTTAAATAAATGAATGCACATGAATAATTAAAATATGATGACTAAAGAAGAAAAATCATATGATCTTCTCAATTAGTGTTGAAAAAGCATTTGACAAAATTCACATCTCTTCATAAAAGCAATTTGCCATAAACTAGGAATAAAAAAGAAACTTCTTTAACTTAATAAAAGATGTATAGAAAACACCTACAGTCAACATCATACTAATGGTAAAACGATGAATGCTTCTCTTGTAAGACGGGGAACAGTGATGGGAACAAGGCGACGATGTCTTCTCTCACTACTCCTGCTTGACATTGTACTAGGTCCTAGCCAGTGCAATGAGGCAACAACAACAAAAAAGCATACAAATTGGAAAAGGGGAAATAAAACTCTATTTGCAGACTTCATGATTTGTTTACAAGGAAAATCCCACAGGGTCTGCCAACAACAACAAAAAAGCTACTAGAAATAATAAATTAGTTTAGCAAGGACCCAGATTACAAGTTCAATATAAAAATATCTATTGCTTTTCTATATACTAGCAATGAACAATTAGAAGTTGAATATTTAAGATCTGGATTTAAAAAACCCTTTTATCTTCTCCTGAGAGTTTGAAGTGATTTAATTCAGGTCATGCCAACAAAGGGCATATATAGTCATTGCTCAGACTATGTAATTTCTAGTTTCCTCTGGGTTGAAATATGATAATCGAGTCACAGAAATTTGTAGCACATAGGGATTTCCATTTATGTAAATAATGAATAAGAATTCAGAGGGTAAAGTGATTTAGCAAGCCCACAAAACTAGTGCCAGAGCCTAAAATACAGTTTTACTCATTCGAATCTCTGTATTCTTTGGCATGTTTCCTTTTCTTATGTGCCTTCTTAAAGCTGGCAAATACATTTTAGGTCTTGCTCTCCACTGTCATCTTTTAAAAATGACCGTGAAACTAGTCGTTAATGTTGATAATAATATTGCAGTTTTGAAATAAATTCCTCAATGTTATAAATGTTAAACAATTTTATAATTACTAGAAATTATTAATAGCCTACTCAAAATTCTTAATAAGAATATTCTCTTGTGCAGCAGCTTCTGGGGGTCTCATGATAGCCAATGGGAAGAAGTTTATCTTTCATTACATATAACAGTAAAACAAAACATTTAAATCAAGTATGATGTTAACAGGATCACACGCATCACTGAGAAAAAACAAACAAAAGTAAGAAGGGGTTTAGCTTGCTTTATGGTCTCTCTCTTTTTCTTTTCTTTTTTTTCCCATTTCTTCCTAGAAGCTAAATTCCACACTTTGAGAGTACATAGGGAAGATTCCTTTTCGTATTGGCCTTTCTGTTTATCTGTCCGCCTCAACAGCTGAATGTGGTAGTTAAAGGCCTGGACCCCAGAGGCAGACAGGCTTGCATCTGTGCCTTGATACTTACTTGTCTGTGACCTTGCTCGAGCATGTTTGCCTTAGGTTTCTTATCTCTAAAATGGATAGCAGTAGTTACCCCAATAGAGGTGCTGTATAGATTAATTGAGATCATGACTGTAAAGAGTCTATTACGGTACTGGGCACATAATAAAAGCTCACGATATTTTACACATAATTTCGTCTCTTTTGATGGTCTAAGTAGTAAGACATGCAAGTATTAAGATTAAAGTGTATTATAGATCTGTTCTTACATGTTTTTTATTTTTTAAAATAGAATTGCCAATGTTCAAATCTGCTGCTTAAATTTTAAAATTCTTAAACATTCCATTTGTGAATATGGAATTCATCTTCTTCTGAATAGGTATTTATTAATTCTTCAACATTGTAGCCATCCTTAATTTAATTCAGACTCTGGAAACTTGCATTAAGCTTTCAAAATCTGTAGGGATGATTACGCTCACTTGGAAATTTTGAGTTGCTTAGCTACAGTAACCTTGTTCTAAATGTGCTGTAGAAAGTAAGGTTATAATTTCTATATCTCGAATATAAGATTTTAACTCATAGCTTGTACACACACAAATTTCACAAATCCTCTCCAGTAGTGTAATTCTTGTGTGCTATTTTCATTGTCTTGGAATTCTAACTCCAGTGTGAAATTCCATTAATTTCTGTCAATTCATGGTCAATCCTCATTGATGGTCAGCCTGGAACTACACCTTACTGAGAGACCATCCAGCCAGTGTGCTTCTTAGTTTATCCACCAAAAATATTATAACAACTCTTACACTTCTTTTGGTTCTTGTTCATGACTGTTTTTTGGTCAGGTTCCCCTTCTCTCATATTCCTGTTTTGTTCAATCTTTGCCCCATCTTGAGCTAATTTTGAACAAGAAATGGAACGAGTTTCCTGATTTTTTCTAACTGATCTCACAAGTAGTGATCTAACTTCACTCACTCTGCTCTATTTCCCAACTTGACTGTCAGCCAATTATCTGTCCACATCTGCCTTGATGAGCTGCTCTCATCAGGCAAGTCCATCCTGGTTCTTGTACTTCTTATTCCAGAAAGAATCACTGTCTTTTAGGAATTCCTAAATGTTTGTGGAGTGAATGGTGCTCTATAAAGTACCTCACATGTTCTAAAGTACTTAAGATCACAAAAATGTATATGTCATTACATCGATTAAGTCAAATGATATCTTTCAAAATCCCTTCAATTTGTTCCTCTTGCTCATGTGAATATAGTCAAAACGATCAGTGGCAGAAAGAAGTACATATGCAGAACACTAATGGGGATAATCTTAATCTCATTTGTGTTGTAACTTGTTGATAGAGTTTGGATATGTGTCTCTGCCCAAATCTCATGTTAAATTGTAATCCCCAATGCTGGAGGGGACTAGTGGGAAGTGTTTGAGTCATGGGGGTAGACCTATCATGGCTTGGTACTATCTTTGCAATGGTGAGTGAGTTCTCAGGAGATCTGGTTATGTACAAGTGTGTGGCACCTCCTCACTCTCTCTTTTGATTCCTCCTGCTTCACCTTGTAAGCCTCTGGAGGTCTCCCTAGAAGTCAAGCAGATGCCAGCACAATGCTGCCTGTAAAGCCTACAGAACCCTAAGCCAATCAAACATCTTTTTAAAATAAATTACCCAGTCTCAGGTATTTCTCTATAGCAATGCAAAAATGGTCTAATACACTTGTACTATGCCTCTTTTTTTCTTTTGCTTTCCTTTTCTATCTTTTTTTTTTTTTTTAACTAGAATCAGCACTGATTACTACTGTAATGATCTGTGGGCTTTATGAACTTTTATATATTGCCAATTATATAAATATGGCTAGCTCAACAAAATGTGCAGAGAGAATTTTCGCATGCTTTTACAGATAGTGTAATGAATGTAATGGCATAATAAAATAAATTCTTCCTTTTTTTAAAAAATCTTAGCTTTCATGGTACAATAAAAATTTTTGAAAGAAATAAAAATTCAACATATGTATTTTAAATCACATTCATTGAAATCCTAAAATAAATGTTGATAAATTTTGAGTATATTTATTTCAATATTTCTCCATTAAAATACTTGACAATGCAAAAGTGTAGTCAATGTAACATGAAGGTTTAAATTACTTCAAATCAAATGTTACTTACATCTCCTAGAAAGCTTTATGTAATATAAATTAATGGAAGATAGTAAATATTGGAATTAGCACGTTCTTGGAAATATAACAGAAAATAAAACCATCTGAATTTAACATTTATTTGTATATCAATCAACATTTTGCTTTAAAATTAGTCATATTAACATTTTAAAAACTCAGAATCAATTGTAATATGATTATTTTCTTCTGCAGAAAAAAATTTAACATAGAAGTTTACGGTTATAACTTATTTTGGTGAATATTACAAGACAACTAGGGGCTCTCTAGGAGGCAAAGGATAGGACTGAAAAGAAGGAGGAGGAGCAGAGTAGAGGCCTTGCTATTCTTCCTGTCTGCCTTGCCTCGAAGGGTCTGTGTCTCCCTTAAAGCCTGAGTAAGGAAACTGATTAGCACATTGATGGAGGTGGAGGGCATTATTATGGAAGCTGCTGTGTGGAGTACTTTGAGGGCAAATCTGGGAAGTAAAAGTTAAATTGGTGCAGGGAAAAAAGATCAGATTTTTGTGTATGAGAGATTTAGAGCTCATCAGTTATTGTATCAAATAAAAAAGAACTATAAATTAAACTATTCTTCTGCCCTAACAATGGTTTTATAATATTGCTCCCTCTTCAGTTTTGGAGTGACTCCCTGAAGGACCACTTCTAATTTCCGAGGATATAACAAGATTTATTTCGGATGTGACATATACGCTCATGACCAATAATTTAGTTGCATCACCTGTGACTTGTTCGAATTTCATTTGAACTTAAGGGCTTTAAGATATAATTACCAAGAAAATATAATGTGAAAATCTAATCACGATAAGCCTCCCAAGACATATCTAGAACTGAGGGTGGCAGCTGTTCTTTAGAGTATACAGAAAGTTACTCCAATTCAAATAGTATCCTATATGCCCTCAAAAGCTAACAAGATGTCCCTTGCAGAACAGACTCATTACACATTTATAGCATTGATTAATTACTAAATGTTTACTTTGAAGATGTTTTTACGTACCCAACATTCACAAAAATTGGTTTGAGCAAAGGAGTAAAGCCCCCATGCAACTTTGAGATTTTAGTAAAAAGCTGCATAGACTTGAAGTGAAGGTGACTCAGTTTGAACTCTTTGACGAGCAGAGAAAATGAGTATTTGGGAGCACAGTGTGATTCTACTGCAGGTGTCTAATTGGTTATGGTACAGGTCTCATTAAGATACACAGCAGGTTGTGTGACTAAAATACACATGCAGACATATCCACACACAACCTTGGAATGCTGAGGAACACAAATGTGTTTAGTGAGAGGCAAATGTAAATGTCTGCAGAGAGATAATTCCCTAATAACATAACAATAATCACATGAACTTTGTGATTTTACAATCTTCATGAACAAACATGAATATCCTAAGGAAGAAATTAATTAACTAAAAACACCTATTAACATGAAACAGGCTGAAAGATGAAAGTAGAGCAGTCTCGATTTAGGAGAAAGCGTTGCTTTTTTTCTTCTTTTAACTGAAAAAAAATAACACAAAATCTTTTAAAAATGTTATTGTCTAGTATTTCATGAAACATACTAATTGATATGTTCTACCCTCAAATAACCTCATCTCTTTCAAGTTTCGATGGAAATGTTGCCTTCTCTTTGTAAAATTCTCATTCCCTAGCCCTGCACTATCAATTTCCCTTACTCTATTCTGCTTTCTCTTTTTATAGCACTTATCATAGTCTCTATTTTCTAGAACACTATCTACTGTCTTACATATTGCTTATTGTTTATTCCTTGCTCCACTAGAATTAAGCTCCTTCAATGGCAAGATTTTTGGATGTTTTGCTCCGTGATGTACCTAGAATAGTGCGAGGAAGATAGTAGGAATGCAATAAACATTTTTGAACAATTTGAAGAAATCATCGCATAACTATGAAAATGCTGTGACCCCCAAAACAGTTGCTCAGTAAATATTTAAAAGTGCATTAATTAAATACAGAAGACTCTAAATGAAAGCATTTTTTGATGGTAGAAGGAGGTTATCAGATGCTAAAGGTAGAGGCAATCAGGAGATTAAAAACGAGAACAGCCTGTAGTCCCAGCTACTCGGGAGGCTGAGGCAGGAGAATGGCGTGAACCCGGGAGGCGGAGCTTGCAGTGAGCCGAGATCGCGCCACTGCACTCCAGCCTGGGCGACAGAGCGAGACGGAGAGAAAGCGAAGAAAAATGAAGTAGGGAAGTGCTATAGTTTGGATGTTTGTCCTTCCAAACCTCATGTTGAAATCTGATCCCTAATGTTGTAGGTGGAGCCTAATGGGGGGTCTTTGGGTCATGGGGATAGATTTGTCACGAATAGATTAATGCCCTTCCTGGGGGGAGCTGGTGAGTGTGTTCTCATTCTTATGAATCATCCGAGAGTTGGTTTTTTAAAAGACGCTAGCACCTCTCACCTCTCTCTTGCTTCCTCTCTGGCCATGTGATCTCTGCACACACTGGCCAGAAAGAAAGGAGGAGAGAGGTGGGAGGTGCTAGGCTCTTTTAAACAACCAGAATCCCCTTCACCTTCTGCCATGAGTGGAAGCAGCCTGTGGCCCTCACCGGATGTAAATACTTAATTCTGAACATTCTGGCCATCAGAATTATGAGCCAAATAGACCTCTTTTCTTTATAAATTACCCAGCCTAAGGTATTCCTTTACAGCAACACAAAGTGACCAAGGCAGAATGATTTAAAGTACAGAGGGCATGGTTTAATTTGATGCTTCAAAATGTTGATATCCTTAAATATAATGTGAATAAAGATTCTCTATTCTGACCTGCAGTCTCTCTGAAATATCTGTGCTACTCAGTCATTATTTAGGAAGATTCTTTAAGAACGTCTTCCTAGACAGAAAATCTCAAAAATGTGATTTAAACCTAGAATAAAGTTTGACATATTTAAAAATTTTATTTCCCTTTATGTTCTTTTCTGTCAAAAATTGTTTCCTTTGCTATCTCCCATAGGCTTTTAGTGGATAAAGGTCAGTGAACCACCACTTTCTGATGCAGTAGTCTCAAACTTCACTGCAGATTGGACTGATCTGGGTAGCTTATAAAACTGACTAGTTAAATGAGAATTCCGTGGGTAAGATCCAGGCATGAGCTTTTTTTTTTTTTTTTCAATACCCAAGTTGATTCCAACATGCAGCCAAGTTGGAAAACTACTGAAAATTCCATATTTACTGAACTACTGAATTAAGATTTGTCAGTCCTTGAAACTTTCTACTTACTGGAGAACCCTTCTGAATCTGGGGGCTAATGATTACCTGTGGTAGATCCATCTACCCAACACTGAAGTTGCATAACTAAATACTAGCAGTATGTCTCTAACTTTAGCACACCTTGAATCACATGAAGAACTTATTGAAATGTGAACTCCCTGGCTCCCCTCCTAGAGATTCTAATTCAGTAGGTCTAGGATGGAGCCTGAGAATTTGCTTTCTAATAAACGTCCAGATGCTTTAATTGTAAACGAAAGAGTCACTGCCCTAGAGAAAGGGATTTGGGGATAGATCTCATCAGGCTTGCTGGGATAGCCCAGCGGGAAATCCAGTGGGGTATTGTCCAATCCTTACTTCAAACTTCTTGTTCTGGATCTCCAGTGAATCTCAAAAACTGATTTCTCTAAATCTTAGGGGACTCAAAACCTCCAACAGTGGCCCAGGTCGAGAATAACTACTTTGAAAGAACTGTAGGCTGGAACAGTCAAAAATCCATTATGAGTGACCAGTAGAATCATCTCCCATGCCAGTTTTGTGCACATGTGTGATGTGTTTTCAACTGTTTCTGATTGCTAGAGGGAAATTTAGTCCTTTCTGTGTTTTGATAATATTTGGTTCATGAATATCTCTCTTCATACACTTCACAAATATAGCATAGCTAGTATTTCTCACCCTTGCTGGATTTTGCACTGCTTGGATCAAGGCCTAAGATTTTCGTCCTCAAAGTCCCACATTGCAGAACATCAAGCACACATTTTATGTTTATTAAATTATTCATGACAACATCCATGGTTCCCACATTATGGGTTATGATTTCATGTGGAATCCGGTTAGGTTAAAGGATATAGAATTAGCACTGCTTAAAACAACATCTATTTTTATAATCAGCTCAAAAGCTCACCAAAGCAGAAATGGTTCTCAGCTTTCTATATGCCTCTCAAATAGACTTTTGGTGATTCTGTTACTATTACATATTTCCACTATTGGCTTTCAAACTTCATTTAACCCACCAAAACCATTGGAGGTGGGGGTACAATATGGTTTGCCCAAATCTATCTATTGATAAGCATGGTTCTTGATGCTATAACCCACATAGTATGACACTGCTGCTTACATTGGAATGGTCTTGGACAAGACCATTACTTCAAACAGAAGAAAAAGAGTATCCCTACCAAGGGCTAAATAGAAGAGTTAAAAGCAGTTTCCAGAGATCCTAATAGCCTCTGGATACAATATTGCCACAAAATGGTAGGTATTATGCACAAGGATGAGGATTTTCTATTTGCTATATATTGTTGCATTTACCAAATGAAGCACTTTCTTACATAGGCACATTGTAAGAAAAAAATTCAAGAGAACCCGCCTTTTTTAATAAGAGTCCTAATTTTATCCAATAGTAGAAAATATAAGTAAGGTTAATATGAAATGGAAATTCCATATATAAGTGTGAACCAACATGCTTTTAGTCACGTATTAGAAACTTTTCACATTATTTTAGTTTAATGTTTTTCATAATATTTTGGTTGTTGATGAAAAGGAGTCCGTGTGGCCTCAGTACCACAGTAAAGAGTCCGTGAGTCTTTTCCACTGATTCATTTTGCCTTTATCTCCTAGAGGACATTTCTGCATTCTCAGAAGAGGAAACACAGTTGGAAAAACACCTGTCATTTTGGTAATTTTTTTTTCAACAGCCTCAGGATGTCATAATTTCTTTCTTTCTATTTTGGATTTTATATAATGTCTTGCTATTTTTAAACATCATGTAGATTTACAAGTCTGGAACTACCATTTTTCTGCACTTCTAACTAACCGTCCCTCCTATCAGTAACAATGACACAATATACAAACCCAGAAAAATTATCAGGGTAGCCCTTCAACTATCATCTATTTGCTCATAGTTCTCCCAAAGATTTCCTCTATTCCCCCACAAAATGAGATACAGACCACATTTTCTTGCAGAGGTCTGGGTACAGGTGGTGGTATACTGTGTTGCACAGCCGTGGGCCAGACAGGCTGTGGCTCTAAATGGACACCATATGGCAACAGCCTGACTACTTTGAGTTGAGTCCTGCACCTGTTAGTCGGTGGGAGGATGCTCTTTTAGTGTTTATGTCCTTAGAGCTATTTTAATTTTCTTCATGACCACTTTTCTGTGACTCATGGTTGGTTTTCTGTTCTACTCTTTAAAATACAGATAATTGAAGTAACTGTGTATCATTCAATATAAATGTATATGGGTCTTTTTCCTTCCTCCTTTTACATTTAATGTTAGTCTTATTGAAACATAAATGACATCTACTCTTGCTTAAATCCTTCTCAGATTTGCCAATAAGAGACAAGGATTTGGGAAATTGGTGGGAAGAAGTAGAGCCTCCGGCAGAGATAAAATAGGAAGATCATCACCCCATGGTGTATTTGGGTGCCATTGTGATTCCTGTGTAGCTGCAACATGTACCATGATTTGTGGATGTTTCAAATATACATCCTTTCCATTAGTCTCCAAAGGATGATTTTAGGAATATGTGTTTATAAAATGCTTTTATGTAACTGTGTTAGCCAAATGATCACCTATGTCCCATTTAAATTAAAGTAGAACTTGACATTAATCTTCTCTGGAGAAAATTCAAGAATAAAATCAGTGAGGGAAGCAAAAGGAAATGATATTTGACCTCTATAGCTTTTTTCTCATATTTATGAATAGTTTTATAAATACATCGAAAGAACCACTTCAAAAGTGGTGAGGCCTTTTGAGGGTCAGCAAGGGTGCATAAGTGTGTCAAATGAGCAAATGACTATTCACCTCTCTTTTAATCGTACTCAGCTGCTGGGTTAGGAGAGCCAGAAGCTTGAAAAGAGGGCAAGATTTAAATTGACTGGTGAAACCTAGGGAGCACAAGGATAGATGAGCCCTTAGTCACCCCAAATATTTCCTCCACCTGGAACATGAATGCCTGAAATCCACAAAGACATAGAGACTTTACTCTATTAAACCACAACCTAGAAAAGTGATGACTTATTAAGCATTTAAGTATTAGTTTACATTACTTTCGTCAGATATTTTCTCAGGACAGGTTGTAGGAAAATGGCAGGTAGAGAAAATCTGAAGGCAAGGTTGACTGAAGGAAGAGTTACAAATGTATAGAAATGACAAGCACAGTAAACTGAAGACAAACTCGATAAAGGGAATAATTTTTTCTATTTTTAATTGCCTTGTGCTCTCATGTGTGGGCAGTCCATGGAAGAAGGAACAAAGTGACCTATGATTTCTTCTCCTATTTGAAGAAAAACATCCTGAACCCAGGGCACAATCAGCTCTCAGAACTCCTCTAGGGTAGAATTCATCATGTTTTTATCAGGCTTACATATTTTTTAAAAAATGGCTTTAGCCTGTTTTTCTCTCTATTTGATCTAAAGCTGCATTTATAATCTCTGAACTAAAATGCTCAAGATATGTAATAGATATAAATTTGCAGATTAAAACCAATCTCTGGAAATAACCTATAAGTCAACTACATTTTTCTTGCCAAGGACTCAGGATATATAATTGGTCTCTGTTTTTTTCAATCATATTACTGCTGGTTGTGACTCATTTGAAACTAGTAATGTCAATTCTGTCCTGGGTAGCACATAGTTATCAGAATATATGCAGCAATTTGCTTCCAGGTCTTCCAATAACACACTATGTGTATATTGAGATGAATGTATTGTTTTATCACCAAATAAAAATGTATATTTTAAAAACACATATATAGGTTTACTGATAGGTAGGTAATGTTAGAAAAAATGAAGTTAGAATTCTCCCTTGATATTTTGTGGGAAGTTATTACCTGATATATTTTCTACATGTGAGTAAAAATAGAATTGTTGTTTAATAAAATGCATTTTCTGAGTAGCCAGATAAAAATAATTGTAACAAGAAGGGTTATTAATTAAAACATCATGCACAGCCTCTACACCCACCATTTAATTCACACTTAGCTCAAAACAAGCTGAAAGGATTGAGGACTCAAATGTCCATGCTTTATAAAATGTCAAGTTAAACGCCTAACTGTGAACCAGATTGCTTATGATACAGGCCTTTCAACTGTAAATATCAAATGCATAAAGAACAGCATGAATCTCTTAACTTTATAAAGATGGCATGCAGATTCCAACATTTGGGGAAAATTAAGTAACTTACTAACATTTATGAGAAAGCACGCATTTAAGCATTACACTGGACCCCTCTTGATCGAACATATATGAAAGTCAAAATGTCATACAGCAGATTCTAACATAGCATTAAAGGTTTTGTTTAAAGAAAAAAAGTCAAATATCTTCTCAAATTAATTTTTAAAGCATGGAAAATAAGATCCCATTCAAATTCTCTTAAAGAAAAAATGAAAATTTATTTTTAAGTAAATTAAAGGAACAAGGTTCCATAATTTTTAAAAATAAGAGTGTTTAGACTTGGTCTCTAAGGTTCTATGAAATCCAACATTCGATGTAAAAATAAATATTATCTTTTTTTTTTCCCAAAGCACTAAGGATTTTATTAAATTTCAAAAATCATGGTAATTATTCCTGTGAGGACATTGTTCCCAGTCAGGGAACAGTGGGAAAAATAACAGAAATTAAATGAATTGTTCATGTGTTAAAGAGGCTCTTGGTTTGAATAGATTTAGAATAACATCCCTTTGTGTATATGTAAGCAGTTAGATAATATTTCTTCTGACTGAAAGGAACATTTTCAAATTCCAAACCTCCATTTATTTGGGTCTTCATTTTGAAATAAGCATAAAACTAATGTCTATATTTATATGGCCATATCTTCTCAAAGACCATTTTATTATGATATACAGCCTTTGTAATATGCTGCCTCTTAGAATTGTGTTCAATCGCATGAGATAAACAAACCAAGAAAAGTGAGGGTCAACTTAGAAGGTACTAGCCAAACCACCTGGTTCTGCATCTTGCTCATTTTAAGGATGACGTGAGAAAATTAATTACTTTAATCAAACACCTTGGCTTCTTGCTCACAAATTACTGGGTGGGTATTTGCATAAATGCAGCAATTTCCTGAGTGAGTGGCAGATGGTCAGACAAGTCATGAGCTCACCAAACACTTTTTGTTCACAGATGCAAGTGTTGTGGTAGAACGAAATAAAGACGTCTAACTAGCAAGATAAACTGCAGGAAAAATAATTTACATTAGCCCAACGATGACCTATAATAAGGCAGTCTATTACTAATACTGATAGAAGAACAAAACCGAGTATATATGCAGCAAAGTCATGGGTAAAGTGTACTACTCATTCATGTAGCTGGCATTGTCTTCTTTCGGTTCTCTAGGATCATAAACTTTGCAGAGTTAATTATGAATTCTTTCCTTCATCCACCCTTTCTAAGTCCTATTGATAATGGCATAGTCTCTTGAATCTTAATCATCAGATAAAATTGTCTCAAAGCTGATTGCCCAGTGAAAGATAACTTCCTCTAAACTGAATGTGCACTTATTACTTGTTGGGAAGGCAGCGATTGGAATTCCATCCCACACTACTTCTACAGTGTTATTTACTCACCCCTTGACTTAAAGATAACTGTTATGAATTGAGTTGTGTTTCCTAAAAAGATATATCGAAGTCCTAAGCCGCAGGGCATCATAATGTAACCTTATTTATAGGTAGGATAATTTCAGTTGTAATTAATTAAAATGAGGTCATACTGGAACAGGACGGACCCTTAATCCAATATGACTGGTGTCCTTTTAAAACAAGGAGAAAGCACACAGAGAGAAGAATGCTATATGATGAGATAGATGCACAGAGAGAAGATGGTCATGTGATGATGAAGGCAGAGCTTCCTTTACAGCTGCAAACCAAAATCGAAGATTGTCTGCAACAACCAGAAGCCAGGAGCAGGAATACGGCTCTTCCAACACCTTGATTTCACTGCTAGCCTCCAGAACTGCATAATAATAATTTTTGGTTGTTTAAGCTTGTGGTACTTTGTTACAGCAGCCTAAAGACTAATACAAGCTCATGGCCAGGCGTGGTGGCTCATACCTGTAATCCCAGCACTTTGGGAGGCCGAGGCGGGCAGATCACGAGGTCAAGAGATCGAGACCATTCTGGCTAACACGGTGAAACCCCATCTCTACTAAAAATACAAAAAAAAATTAGCCGGGCATGGTGGCGCCTGTAGTCCCAGCTACTAGGGAGGCTGAGGCAGGAGAATGGCGTGAACCCGGGAGGCGGAGCTTGCAGCGAGCCGAGATCAAGCCACTGCACTCCAGCCTGGGTGACAGAGCGAGACTCCATCTCAAAAAAGAAAAGAAAAGAAAAAAAAAAGACTAATACAAGCTCATTTCATTTTCTCTGACTAATTGAGTGGGTTTTTTGTTTTTTGTTTTTTGGTTTTTATTTTTTTGAGGCCGGATCTTACTCTGTCACTCAGGCTAGAGTGCAGTGGCATGATCACTGCTCACTACAGCCTTAACCTCCCAAGCTCAAGTGATCTTCCCACCTTAGCCTCTCTAGTAGCTAGGACTACAGGTGTGTGCCATCGTGCCCAGCTTTTTTTTTTTTTTTCTTTTGGTACAGATGGGGTCTCACCATATTGCCCAGGCTGGTCTCAAACTCCTGGACTCAAGTGATCCTTCTGCCTTGGCCTGCCAAAATGTAGGGATTACAGGCGTAAGCTATTGTGCCTGGCCTAATTGGGTGTTTTTACCTGTTTGTTAGTATGTGTTCTAAACTTAAATTCTTGAGTCTGTTTCCTAAACATAAATTATCACTTATATTGTAGTCTTTAAGAGTGGAGCCCTTGAATTCTATTTCTTTACTTTTTCTCATTTCTAATGTCTTTCTATTATGTCCCCGGGTTTGGTACCATGCTGAATGCAGGGACTCAACAGTTCTTGCTGTCCCACTGAACCTCATATCATAAATATTGTAAAGATAAATCAGCACATAACAGAATGGCAGAAAAATGTAGTATTTTGAGTATTAGGATTAAGTGTCCTCTTTTATTATTACATGTCTATTAAAAAGTCATGTGTAAAGCTGCCCCTCCTGTACATCTATATTATGAAAACATACACAAAATGCTGCAGGGATTTATATCATAGTTGTGATAGAGAGAAATGTTTAGATGCAATTAAAGATGGATACGCTGACTACCAAAAGCATATATTTAAACCAAGCAAAAAACCACCATAATTAAAATATCATGGTCCTGATGTAAGAATAAAAATTTTCCCATACTGATGGGAAAAATATGAAGTTCTAAAGCTCTGTAATAGAAATATAGGATAAGGTAGCATTTCAATTCAATATAGAAACGAAGCTTTAGTCATTTACTTGTTCTGAGAAAACTGCTTCCTTGTTAGGAAGCCTAGATCTTTATCTCACACATCACATAGACTACAAATGCAAATTTCACAACTCAAAGAATAATATGCCCCACATTTTCAAGGGTGCAGTGAAACAAACCCTCGCGTACTTTGCTGGTACAAATAAAAGTCAGTAAAACCTTCCCAAAGTGAAATTTGGTAATCTGTGCAAAAAACTTTAAAAATGCTTATCCTTTCTTCTTTGTTATTATAAATTTGGAACTCTTAACTTGAGCAAGTATTCTAATAGGAGAGGGATGTCACTAAAACTAGAGCTTCTTAGACTTTAATGTTCCCATGAGTCACTTGGAGCTTCTGTCAGGATTGCAGATTCTGATTCAGGAGGCTTGCCACAGGGCCTGAGATTCTGCATTTTTGACTAGCTTCCAGGTGATATCTACACAGACAATGCCTAAGCGATTTCCCTAGAGGGGAGGGTGGGGATCAGCAATGCATTTTAGATCTCTGCCAAAGACACCTTGCAAAGGCTCAAGTTATGTCTTTAGCCATGTTCATAAGAAGTCTAACTAGCTAGTGTAGGTACATTTATTTCTTAACCTTCTCCCTCTTTTTTTTTTCTTCCTAAGTGAAAATCTGATACCAGTAGTTTACAGAGAAAATAGTTCTACTAAAACAATGTCTCTTGGGCTTTAGTGCTCATTATTTCTTTGCCCTGGGAAAGTTTCCACTTGCAATTGTCCTAAAAACACTCTTAAACCTGGCCGCCATCACTGAGTTAAATTCTACTGTCTGGGAGAGGAGGAAGGTATGAAAACCTCAATTGGGGCCATTCTGGCAAATTTAATAGCTCTTCAACTCACTGACCGTTCGGGGATGAGCCCAATCCATTCTCACTCCTGGGCAGAGACTGCGTTTTAAGGTGCTCTTGATCAGCCCTTATTGCTCTGCACTCTGAACAGCAATGCTTCATAGAACACTACTTTTGACCACTTTCAAGTTTGAACTTGACAAGGATGTAGTTCAGATATAGGGCAATATAAAAAGGCCAGAATAACTTTTGAATTCAACACCTTCCATATCAGAGAAATGAAAGGTTCCGTTTTATACCTAAATACACCTGAAGGAAACAATCTTTTTTTTTCTTTTTTTTTTAGACGGAGTCTTGCTCTGTCCCCGAGGCTGGAGTGCAGTGGCGTGATCTCGGCGCACTGCAAGCTCCTCCTCCCGGGTTCACGCCATTCTCCTGCCTCAGCATCCCGAGTAGCTGGGACTACAGGCGCCTGCCACCATGCCCAGTAATTTTTTTTATTTTTTGTATTTTTAGTAGAGACGGGGTTTCACCGTGTTAGCCAGGATGGTCTCGGTCTCTTGACCTCGTGATCTGCCTGCCTCGGCCTCCCAAAGTGCTGGGATTACAGGCTTGAGCCACCGCCCCCGGCCCGGGAAACAATCTTAATAGTGGCTCACTAAGTCTGTCATTAGAGGTGTGGTGTTGCCTGTTGGGGGCAGGCACTCAATTAAAGGACACTCTACCCACATGCATCCACAATACTTCTCTCTGGATCCTGAGTCACTAATCTAGAGAGTGACAATAGAATAAAATTGCGTTCTGGATGAAAAGAGGACCCAAACTTATGCCCCTTCTTTTTGTATTTAATAGTATCAGATAGATGCAGTATTGTGATTAAAAAAATCAGTCACTTAGAAAAATGCAGATCATTTACCAGCTGGAACCTTGTACTGACCTTCGAACATATTTTCTAGCTTAGCAGAAGTTCCCAATTAAAGAGCTGTCTCAGCATGGAATTATTTCAGCAAAAGCTTCTTCTTTCTCTGCAATACTAAAATTTGGTGCCACAGTTACGAATGGAAATTTGATGGAAGAGGTTCTGGAGTTAAAACGCATTTAGATGTCTTTTTCCTAGTCGGCTTTATAACATAGCTTCATTTAAATACAGTGAATTTGTTAGAGGAGCTACACAGAGCTCTCGAGATTGAAGAGGGCCAAATGCCCACTTGAACCTCAAGCATATGTTAAGAAAGTGATATAAAGGAGAGTATTCTGCACTACACTCACTGAATATAAAACATAGATAAGCAAAAGCATTTGTTCCATCTCACACCTGAGATTGGATTTATTTTAGTTTTTATTTCTCTAATGCTTATTTCAGAACCCTTTGGCCTAGGTTTTGTTTTCGCTTTAGATCTAAATGTTATCTTGTATGAATTTGATTCTGATATGTAATGATAGGGTTTAGGGATGGATTTATAAAGCCTTTCTTTTCATTTCTGTGATCAACACATCATAACTGAGTTGGAAAGCAGTCCTTCAGCAACAGTCTCATCCTGTAGTGAAATGTGTCTGCACGAAGAATACACAAGAATGTAGAGAGAAGTACAGTTGCCTCTGCTGCTACTACAAATATCTGGTTTCCCAGAGTATTCTAATGTTAAACTATGGATGACCATTTAGTTCATACTTTCTAGAATAAACTCACATGTCCACAATGACTCATCTTCTAAAATCTGAGCAAAAAATATTTAAACCACCGGCTTTCAAACTTTTCTGAGTGTAAACCCAGTATAAAAGATCTAATACATACATACTGTAGAAATATTTGCTTACTCTTGCTGTGTTCAATGCCTGCTGATACTTTCAATTCAATTTACTTCAATTCAATGTTTTCTATTCTAATCCGATGAGGCATTGTTGATTACTTGAAAAATGACTAGCTTGTGCTCAAAATAATTTAAAATGGTCTTGTTTTAGAATTTAGAATTCAGTGTTGAGAAACAATAAAATGTGAGTATGCTGTTGATGAGTTATTCTTCTACTATCTATTTGTATTCAAAAAGAAGTAAGAGAATTTTAAAGTATTTTGTAATCACTTTAATGCAAAGCTAAAGTCAAGTTTCTTCAAATAAAGGGCCATCACTGTCTCACAATGGCATTGGAAATTAGCCCAAGTGTGGAAAAGAAGAACAAAGGAAACTTTATAGATGTTGTTAAAGTTTAATTTTAATAAGGTTAAAAACATCACTCCTATGCAAAAATATAGTGAGAACACAGCAAAGATTTATTTAGTTTATTAATGAAGGAATCACAGTAATGGTAAAGCTGGCTCAAAAGAGGGTAGGAGAAACTGGTAGTGACTGCTATACTGGTGTATATTGTTGGTGTACATGTGAATAGACATATACACACATATTTGAATTCATATATGTGTATACATATATACACCTAAGTGGAATGTAAAGAATGGTGGGATAAGTTTATTCAGTTAAATACAGACTAGGCTAATGTTCTACAGAAGAATAACACTACAATTTCTATGATTTTATTAGAAACCATTTACATTTCTGCCGGATGAATATCACTTGCTATTATCAATCTTCTCACATTAATATGTAATTTATATAGTCTGTGCCCTTATCAGTAGTAAATAGTAAATCAAACAAAATTACCTTCCCAATTAGAGTGTCAAATTTCCTTGAGCCACAATGTTCTGCTTTGATGTTGAAAAAGCACACAGAAATCTTTTAAAACAATTTCCAAGGCTTAGACTATTGTTCTTAGAATGCAAAATGCTCATTGGCAATAACTGAGTCAGTTTTATTTTTGTGCCTTCAGCACCTCAGAGAGTGACTGGTAGGTTGTAGGTGTTTGGTAAATATCTGCCTATTGAAGAACTATTCTTTGAAGAGAGAAACAGAACTTCTAATTGGCATAAAACTCTAAAAGGAAATATTTAGAAATTAATGAACCCCTTCCTATCTAATTCAATATTTAACCTATATAGACTGCTTCACCATCCCAGTCTTTGTTTTGTGAAAGGTCTTGCATGACTCAATATTGTGTAAGTAGAAAATATTTTAAGCTACTTTCGGGCTATATTTCACATCAGCACAAGTAACCTTAACACTCCTATTTACATTATGAAAAAAAGAGTGTGCCAAACAGAAACTGTAACAGAGATGTCTCTATGAATGTACCTGGAAGAGCTTTTTCCAAGTTATATTCCTAAAAGTAGTAGTCTTGAATTAGATTCCTCTAGTTTTTCTTTTAGACTTTCCTTTACTTTTGCTTTTTGGGGCGGAGTTAAAATTCAATATAATGTACAAATATTAGTTAAAAGTTATAATTTATTAAATGCCTCATTAAAATTAGTAACAATACCAACTATCTTGTGCAGCATTTATGTGTAGAAAACGTAAAGTGAAGACTAAAAAAACAAGAAAGATGTACTATTTTCTTGGATACAAAGATTAAACATCATAAAGGTATTGAAAGTCTCAAAATTAATCAGTAAATGCAATGCCATTTAAATGATGCCATGTGATTTTTTTCTAATTCAGGCAAGATGATTCTAAAATTTATATAGAAAAATCAAGAAACAAGAATTGCCAGAACAATTCTGGAACAGGTAAATAACAAGAAACCACTATCCTCAGCAGATATGATGCACAAATCATAGAAAGAGTGATGACACACATGAATAGACAGATTGCTGTGAAAGCACATAAAGTCCATAAGTAGCCCCAGTACACACAAGCCTAAAGTCTGTGATTCTGGGAACATTTCAAATGAAGAGCAAAATAATGGATTAATAAAGAAATAGAAAAAGACTTCTGAAAAAAATGAGGGAAGATCATTATCTCACATCTGACTCCAGTATCAAAAATTTAAATGTAAAAAATAACTCGTAAATATACCAGCTGATATCATGAATTCTTTTCTATAATCTTGGAGTAAATAAAGTCTACACACAAACCATTACTCAGAAAACACTGGGAAATTTGATTACATAACACATTATACATTTTTGCACATGGGAGATTTGCATATACATATATTTCCCTTAAAATACACAAAGTATGTGTGGAAGAATTCACAAGAAATTGATCGTGAGTGGTTGCAGGACACTCAAGAAGTGGCAGGAAGACTTTTCACTGTACATCCTTTTGTTCTTTGAATACATTACTTATTTTTTAAAGTAACTTAAGAGAAAATGCACATACACATTTGAGATAACATGGAATGATTGCATGTTTAATTTTCAGTGTAACCAAGATAACCCAAGTCTGAAAGAAAAACTCCTCTCCTGGCATGCTACTATCTCTTTCAAGTTACCTCTTGAAATTCAGTATGTGACTATACATTGTTATCTTTATTTTTTGTGCATTATCCCTATCTTCCCATTATATTATATTGTATTGTATTTATTTATTTGAGACAGTCTTGCTCTGTCACCCGGGCTAGAGTGCAGTGGTGCTATCTCGGCTCACTCCAAACTCCGCCTCCTGGGTTCAAGTGATTTTCCTGTTTCAGCCTTCCGTAGCTGGGACTACAGGCACCAGCTATCATGCCCAGCTATTTTTTGTAATTTGTTTTAATTGGAAATGGGGTTTTCACAATCTTCATACATTGTGAAAATGTTTCCATACCTCTAAATTTGTATTATGTGTTCTATGTTAATATGCACACTAGACAAAGAAGGGAAGGAGAATATTACCATAAGGAAGCTGTCCCAGAGGTGGGAAACTAATGCATTTTTAGGAGTTCAGACTGTGGGAAAGGGAGCGATGAGACAAAATGCTAGAGAGGCGAAGGTGGGTCAGGGCTCTATAATGTATCAAGGAAGTTGGACATAAACTTGAGGGCTATAGAGAGCCATGGAAAAGGTTTAAGTGGGCAGTGGAGTCATCTGATTTGCATCTTAAAAAGATAACTCTAACTGCAGTGTAGAAAACTGAATGAAAGGGCTGGGAAGATGGCAACATTGGAACAGTTAGGGGCTGAGGGATAGTGGACCGAACTACCTTCCACGCTACAGTAGGTTACAAAATCCATTAACACCGCGAAATGTTTTTGTTTTGTTTTTTTTCTTTCTTTCCCTTCCATTACGGCTAATTTGAGCTAACTTATTTGCTGCACACTAATTATGTGGCAGGCACTGTTCTAACATGGCTTCATGCACTTTATTTAAGACTTGCAATGACTTCATGACATAGATAACATTCCTGTCCTCATTTATTGAATGAAAAAACTGTCAGAGAAAATTCAAGAATTTGCTCAAGTTCCCACAGTAAGTCATGGAAGTGGAGTGTGATCAGTTATCTGTGTCCAGAAACACTGTAGAGGTGCAGTGGTTCTCTGTGGGCCAGAACATTTGCAAAGGCAAAATGATCCTCTCTGACTCCCATGACTCCTACATTCAACCCAATGGTCATACTCTTTCCAAAGTTATCTGCCTAAAGCATTGCTTTTATTACCTCACCGCTCTGCTTTTTATTGTACAATGGCTCCGCACTGCTTGTTAAAGAAGTTTTCTTCTGTTATTTAGCATCTTTTCTACATCTTATCTTTGCATGTGGTAAGTCTCCTAGTCTTTTAGGCATACTCAAATTCAACCTCTTCTACAAGGCCTCTGTTTTCATGAGCTCTTATGACTGACTTCTAGTCTAAACTTTTTTATTTTTCTGCTTCCATTTTTGTCAAATCCTCTGACTGATCTAAAAACCCTTTTCTCCATGTCTCACTAACTATTGCATTCAGTATCAAACAATCCAGCACGTGACTATACATTGTTGTCTTTATTTTTTGTGCATTAGCCCTATCTTCCCATTTTATTTTATTTATTTTATTATTTATTTATTTATTTATTTGATTGATTGATTGAGACAGAGTCTTGCTCTGTCACGCAGGCTGGAGTGCAGTGGCGTGATCTCAGCTCACATCAAACTCTGCCTCCCAGGTTCAAGCAATTCTCCTGCCTCAGTATCCAGAGTAGCTGAGACCACAGCCATGAGCAATTGCGCCCAGCTAATTTTTGTACTTTTTTGTTAGTGGAGATGGGGTTTCACCATGTTGGCCAGGCTAGTCTCAAACTCCTGGATTCAAGTGATCCACCAGCCTCAGCCTCCCAAAGTGCTGGGATTACAGTAACGAGCCACCGCACCTGGCCATATCTTCCCATTTTAGATTAAAAAAAAAGGGTTGTCATCTCATTTTTTTGTATACCCTGCTGTTCTTAGTGCAATGTGGACACACATTTGGAAGTCAGTACATTAACAGTTAGCTGAAATGGCTTTACTCACAGGCTATTGCTAGACTGATATTTCCAAAACTTGGCTCCTAACTCATTTCATGAAAATAAGTTCTGTTTACATTTGGAAAATATTTAGTTGAACAAATTTAAATAGTTTTTTCAGAATCTTTAATATGCCAATAATGAGGAGGGAGATAGGCTACAGTATATTTGGTTTCATCACAAATCTCCATCACCCTTTAAAAAGTGAAACATAGTAATAGCAATAGATTGGTAATATTTATTGCACATGGACTATTTTCCGCATAATGTATACTACTACTTTCAGAAAGATAGTTTGGAGGAAAAGCTCATCCAGATACATTCATAAAGACACTCAGCCTCTGATTTCTATTTGCATACTTTTTTCCTGTCCAACTCCAAGTAGGCAGAATATGAAGTATCATTAATGCCCCCAAACTTGAAAGCAGAGTATTTTTAAAATAAATTGCAGTATTGGGAATTCCTGGCTCAGACAGCCTTTCTTCCTTCCATATAAGTGATGCCATATAAATCCTCACAGAGCTTTGGATATGATCACAGAGACTCTTAAATCTGAGACCAAGGATCCTCCCATTTTTTCTAATCTCTTTTATCTTGTGGGATCTCAAAGTCTTGTGAAAATGCATAAAGATTTTCTTTGGGCTTTAGTTGAGTGGTTCTACCCTTCACCTACCATACAACTATTGGCTCTAATAGGTGTGAGCTGACCTATGTTTCTGAGTTGCCCCAAAGATAATATGGTCTTTATTTCATCCAGAAAAACAAGAGCAATCATATAGCTGGAATAATTATCAGAAAAAAAGAATTTTAATGAATTGGTAACTTAATAATAGGTCAATATTTAACTTTTCTTAAGCCCAGAATGACTATTTAAGATATGGAGCTCTTTAAACTTGGGTTTTGTTTATTTTTCTGTTATAACTGTGCACAGGCTGTAGGACCAACATTTTCCAGTAGGGCCTGTCTATAAGTATCAGGGCATATGTCTAACTGTAAACATATAAAATAAAAAATTCAAAAAGAGTTTGGAAATATAGTGAATTTATTTGTGATTAGGATTAGAAAAATATTACACCTAAATTAACTTGTAGCAATCATCTAATCCAATCCCTTTTTACATGAAGAGATTGGATTAACAACTGACAGGTAGTTTACGGAAAAGATAAGTACATTGGCCGGATAAGGTGGCTAACACCTGTAATACCAGCACTTTGGGAGGCCACGGCCGGCAGATCACTTGAGCTCAGGAGTTTGAGACCAGCCTGGGCAACACAGCAAAACCCCATCTCTACAAAAAACAAAACAAAACAAAACAACAACTACAAAAAAGAGATATAAATATTGTTTTACTACCGTTTGTCCAGTGCCCTTTTAAGAATAATATGTTTTAGCAGAACTTTAGTGGACAACGAAATGACTTTAAAATGTTTATTAATTACCAAATATATTCAAAATACTACCCACTGATGTAAAATACAAGACCCTCTTGCAATGACATACAGTGAAAAAAGAAAATAAGAATGGATAAGATAATCTCAGACATAATAGAAAAATCTTTCACCAAGAAGACACATTTTCTTTGATTTTTATCATGATAAATTATTGTTTTGCATTATCACAGCACTAAGAAAATTATGCTCTGTTTCACAGTGTATGATGTATTTCTGTGGGTTCTGTCATAATCTAGCTGATATAATTATCTCCATGTGCTTTAATGGAGACAGGGCCACATTAAATAAAATAGACATAGCCCCTTTCCTTTAACCTCACAACGTTTCTGTATGCTAACAGTTAGCTAAGCCCTCACCGAGTTCTGCACCTCAATTTTGCTAACTTCAGTAGTTGCTTGTGCTATCTCTGTGCTTACATCCACCCTGTCCTTTCCTTCCAGGCCCTTTCCTTTACAAATAATCAAGGATATTTCTGTACGCTGAGGGCTCTAGACTGAAAATAAAATCCGATCTGCTTGCTCGGCTACAAAGCACATCATGAGTGCCCCCTGCCAATCTTTCCACCTGGGTCTCCCTGCTACACATCACCTGACTCACAGTTCGTATTCAAGAGTGCAGGAATGAATAAGTAACTCTTGGATAACTTTCCCAGATTTCAAACTTTCTCGATTTTCTTCGTCTTTTGGGCTTAAAAAATGAGAAGGTGTATTACTCACCCTGTTCTTCTCAACTATATATATTCTTCCCAAATGGTTGATTTGGGCATTTGGTAGGAATGGGGAGAGAAGGATATAGAAATATGCATTTTAATAATTTTTTATGTTTACATTTTAGACATGGTCAGGTTTCCCTTAGTGTGAAATCAAAGCCCCTACAGAATGAAACACTTTGAAGAATTTTGAATCTTTTTCTGGAGATTTTGAATCACTTTAAATCTTTTTGTCTTTTTTTTTTTTTTTTTTTTTACCCCTTACTCTAGAAACAAATCTAAAACTGTGAAATTTGAAAAAGTAGAAATACATTAATTAAAATCTGCCTGACAACTCCTAGTTTTTTTTTATGTAAGCTTTGAGGCTTTGTAGCAATGAGAAATGAAAAATAAAAGAAATAGTGTATAATGTAGTAAATATTGAGAATTTTACTTTATATAGGCTATATGTCCTTTCTAAAGATAATTATTTTTCCAACTTCTTTAGCATTGTGTTTCAAACCAAATTCCTTCCATCTTTTTGTTACTGATTTATAGGGAAAAAAAAGTGCCAGACATTAATATCTCAGCTGGAACAACCAAGACCACATATTATTGAGGCTTCTTATTAAAAGTGGCATTTTCATTAAAATCCCCTTCTTCGCTGTGAAAAGCCCTAGCGATGTATTATCTATCTTGAACAACTGTGCTGCAGAAAGTGCCTAGGAGGTAATAACACAGTTTAAGAAAAAAATTAAATATGATGGCTAGCCGAATGCAATTTACACATTTTTATTTTTTAGTGGCAAGTCATACATCTTGTAAAAAGCATGCACATGAAGCATGAATATAGATAAAATGTTTACAAAAGTAAAAATGCATCAAAAAAAGTCACATAAAAATCCAGGTATTTTAGTACAAAAATTCCTAAAGCAAAGCTAAATGAGCATTAAATTCTATCTTTTATATGTTTTCAGATCAAAGCAAGTAACTTGTTGCCTTCAACCTTCTTGTCCCTGGGGTAGGAAGTGAACCTTTCTCCCTCCCTCTGGGCACCCCGGAGTGGTTAGTGGGCTTCTGGCCGCAGTGAGATGGTGGCATTAGGATACAGAATATCACTGTCCTTCAGAGTAGAACCGCAGGTCCAGATACTAGGTTTTAGCAACAATATTGCCACTTATGAGATTTCTGACCCTTGATCTGTCATCTCATTTCCATACCTCATACTGTTAATCTGTAAAAGAGGATGTTTAGGGGCGTCAATGGAAGTCTAAACCCTATCTTTTCAATATAATCTTTCCATATTTCAACATCAACCTACTTTCTTCATATTTTAAATACAAAAATAACAATATGCACAACACAAAGATGATATGCTATGTATTCCTCAAGCAGTATCTCTTGTTTCTGAACTCCGTGATGTGTTGCTATAGCTTCAGCCCACACCTCACCTCAAAATTCCACTCATTATTAAAGGCCACCTATGAAGTTATCATACTGTGGTGCCTTCTATGCCTCTCACACACTGCTCTGGGCTAGAACTCATCACATGTTTTGATAAATTCTCCCATGTGATCTACAGCACACTGAAGCACTTATGCCTCTCTACCTTGCAATTTATGCACATGATTTTAACTCTCTGCTCAGGATCTCTGAGGGCAGTGCCATGACTTATTAATCTTTATATCTTCCTTGGTACCTACCATACATATAGCCTTGCCTGTAGCAGGAATTTAATTAATGTTTATTGTGTCAATGAATTTAAAAAAAGGTTATCCATACTATTTTACTCAGTCGGAAGGCAAGATGAAATAAGATCAAAGATGTGAAAGCACTTGGGAATGTAAAAGTTTTATTGAAATGAAAGGACTGATGGCTGGAATACTACACAAGCACATTTGACGAGGGAGTAAAAATTCTTGAGGGTTATTCACAACTGACAGAACTCTGAGGTGTGACTTGGCTGCTAAAGAAATTCCTGGGCTGTATGTGTAGCTTTATAATAAATTGAGATAGCATGCTCAGAGAACATTGGAAAAAAGGAAATGCCAAAAAGAACAGTTTTTTTCAGAGCTGTCACGGCATCTTAATTTGTTTTCATGCAGAGAGACTTGTCAAACTGCCACTAACTATCCTGCCTTCTTGTCATCATGAAGTTTATGTACATCGTGCCAACTCCACTTTCTTGGTAGGCAGAAAATTTCACCAACATCTCAAAAGGCCACTGCTGAGTGCTAATGTGCTAGAATGTCACTGCTGAAGTCATCTATGGGTTGGCTCTACCCCTGGTGGAAAGCCAAAAGAATCAGAGATGGATCCTGGAATGCTGAAGCTGACAGTCAGGTTTGAAGGTCCAAGCTGGGTAGAATGTGACAATTACTCTGAAATGTCATCTCTTAGAATCCTTTGGAATTTTCTTTGGTTGAAGAAAATTAGTATAATGTCTTAGTGTAAAGACTAAGTCTGGGACTACAAAGGATATGCAGCTCAGAGCTCAGACCTTGCTCCTCAAAGTGTGGTCAGTAGACCAACTGCTTGGCATCACGCTGGAGCTACTTAGAATTACATGATCTCAGGCCATACTCCCTATTTGCTCAGTGAGAGTTTGCATTTTAACAAGATCCTAGGTGATTCATACGCATAGTAGACTGTGAGAGGCACTGCCCTTAGGCCTGGGATGGTCAAGGGAAAACATAACAACAACAACAACAACAACAAAGCAAACAAACAAAAAGCCCTTTCACACCTCACTGTGATTAGAAAAAGCTTAGAAATATATAGAAGCAAAAATCTCACATTCAATTACTCTTAAGAAAATTTTTTAAATTTGAAAATGTCTTTAAGAACTGCAGAAATCAAAGCTGCATAATTAAGATGGAAACAAAAGAGGAAATAAACCCCTACCCTAAGGTGACAGTCAATGTACTTGATTTCCTTCCAAAAATGTCATGTGGATACAGAATTACTGAAAGTGCATAAGTACTTGCTCAGAATACCCAAATTAGTCATTAGACATGCTGGTTGCCTGCTCCTTTCTAGTCAATTATAGTTAATAGGCATTTATTATAACATTATCATAAAGCATAGAATTAACCAATGACTGTAGAATATTAATTCTATTGCAATTATAGAGAAAATTTAAAATCCTAAGTATAGTATTTTTCACAATATTAGTGAGAACAAAATGGCCTCAGAAAAGTATTCACATGATGAGTTCCTTACTTTCTTGTTTTATCACCACTAATGCTTGCTTTCGTTTTTTCTGAAGTTTAAATATGGATTGCAAAATTAGGAATTTTTCAATCAAAGCACCACTAATAAAAATAAATAGGCATCGACTTAAACAAAGACACTGAGGTGGCAATCAAATGACTTTTAGGTACTAACACTGTTTGCATTGTTTAGAAAATACTAAAGGAGTTCAATTTAAAATTAAATTTACTTGGTCTCTTCATTGTATTTTGACCTCAGTGGAATTCACAATTCACTTTGTTATCATTTATCTGTTATGATTTTAAATATATTTACAAAGCTTTAGCTGTTACAGTTTATCTAATTACACATGCAGTGTTCTATTAAGAATCATATTAAGTTCATGAGAGCCCTTATTAAAATGACACAGGTTTGATAAAAGCCAATTATTCTGATTTTAAGATGCAGTGTAAGATGTTTTGGAAAACTAGAATCTCCTTATATTTGAAATACTGCCGCTTATCTTTAAAGGGCTTTTTTGTGAATATTCTTGTGCATTTGGATTAGAATATTTTTAAAAAACTCACTCTTGGTGCTAATACAGAGCAGCATATTTTGAATTATTCGTTCAACAGCATTTATTTAGCATCTGATATGTGTCAGGCACTATGTGAAAGACTTTCATAATCCACAGACAATAAAACAACATCCCTTTCTCAAGAAGATTAGCCTTGTAGGGAAGAAAGACACCTAAGCCATGCAATACGATTCATTTTGCATTACAATAGAGGTAGCGGAACAGATATATCAAGATGGAGTTTGCTGTCTAAGAACTGGTTTGGAGAATCAGGAAGGTTGTTATGGTTGGAGTCCTTGAAAGCAGAGTCTGAGACAGAAATTCTTGAGAAAATAATTTCCTGAGAAAGTGCTCTCAGGGGAAAGGCAATGAGAAAAATTATAGAAATGGGGAAGCTAAGTAAAGATGAAGTCTCCCTCTGAAAATAAGTTTCAGCTTGATTTTGGAGGATGCTCTTGAGTTGGTTTCTTTTGAAGTAAGGGGTCGTGTCAACCAGTCATGAGTTGTGGGTTTTGGGAATGGGGAAGATGAGTGGCCAGTGTCAGTGGTAAGGTTTGTCCAGGAGAGTGCACAGAATTGGTGATGTTGACTGTTTTTTTTTTTTTTTTTTTTTTTGGAGGGGGGGGTTGGTGTGCAGAAAGATAACATTCTAGCATAGAAGACAGTATACAGTGGAGAGATGTAGAGATATAAAATAATGGCTCCTGTATGTAATGATCAAATAATTCCCAAGAAGTACAAAGAAAAGATAGTTTCAACTGACAATTACCTCTTAACTATAGAAATTAGTTCATGTAATGTTAGCAGGCTAAACCCAGAGGACACACTTCCTGTTCATTTGTTCATTATCAGTCAATTATATGCTAGCTCGTCTAATATGGTTTGGATGTTCATGATAAAATCTATTTTCAATTTATATTACCCTGAATTCATAGGAGTATTTCCCAACTGAGATAATGCTCAAAGTGTATTTCTTATGATTGTCCTTTTTACAAAGCAGAAATAACTCTATGACATTTCTACAGGCTAAAGTTGTCAATTTCACTGACATTGAACTCATCTGAAGGCCTGATATTATATCTAGGCTAAATATGTTTTCAAGTATTTCTGATATAGCTCATGATGCCTTAATAAAGCCCCAATGTAATATCATAATGTGTAGATTTAATTCTTCAAATATTAATAATAAAAATAATATCTAATATTTAATGAGAGTGCTCACTGTGTGCTAATTATGGTGCTAAGCCCTTTACATTTATTTTCTAATCTAATCACTATAACAACTGTATTAATAGGTGCCATAACTTATTCCATTTTATTGATGAAGACACAGGCTTACAGTGGCTAGTGTATTGCCTGAACTCATCTAACTAGTGCACAGACCCAGTTCTGCCTGACTCCAGAATATACCTCTTGACTACCATGGTGTGCTGTTTCCAAAAAAACCAGAGAGACAGAATTTCAGAAGTTCACTAGTGGCAAAATTTTCAGTATGTTTGTTTTTATCTGAGTTAATCTTCGAAGTTTCAAGTTACATTTTATGCATATATGTTAAAAATATTATTTCTTAAATTATTTCAATCTAGCATTTGTTAAATAAGGTTATTTTACATTAAGTATATCATAGTTTGTAAGGAAAATCTATTGTAAGAATCAATGGCATTATAATAATACATTCATTTAAAATCTAAGATACCAAAGCATAATACCAAGATATCTGAACAAACATATTATTTATCAGTTATAAATTATCTATCTAGTCCTGAGAAATCTGACTTTAGTCCTAATGGTGCTAATAAAACCATTATCTAAGAGACACTATTTTAATCACTGTAACAACTATTTTATTAGGTGCCATAATTCACTCCATTTTATTCAAAGCTGATATTTTCTAAATCCTGAAGATTTTATCTAACATTTAACTGAACCGTAGGAACATTTAACTGAACTGTAGGAAATTTGACTGAACTCTAGGCAGGAAGATGTTTTCTAGAAAAAACTCATTCATTTTAGAAGCAACATTATTTTCTGTTGTTTTCAATAGGCATATGCCAAGTATCAACACAAAATTTTCTATATTTAGAAATTTCTGGTTGCCATATTCAGAAAAAAATTTCTTCAAACGAATATCTTTAGAGAAAAATAAATATCATTTTTTAGAAAGGTTAGTGAAGATGAAGAAAATATAATAAAATATTCTGTGAGCTATAAATGCAAGTAAAAGATTAGCTATTACAATAATAGCCAATAGGTCTTCTTTTACCTTTATTCTCTTACAATTTTACTGATTTGAATCTCATTCTTTTTAAATTCACCATTGTCATTGGCTTCAATGGTTTCAGCCACTGTGACTCTTTGCTACTACTGAGTAACGCATTTCTGTTGTAAGCTTAAATTCTAGAGGACTTTCTCACACAAAGGTGGGCATATCCCTATGCAGATACTACTCTTGTTTCTGTTTCTTAAAGTAACTTTTTAGTTTACTGGATACAACCAATTAAAATATTCAACACTTTGAATTTCATAGGCTGTCACTAATTCAACTACAGACTTTACTACCTGCATGTTTTGGAATTGAGAACATTTTCCGCCACATCGTATCAACTTACCTAGCAATTTGCAAATTTTAGATTTATTGATTTTGCTGAACATTCTCTTCAAAGATAGCTATAATCTAGACATAAATCATTATTCACACCTCTGACTATACCTTCAGGACACATAACTAGCTGTGGGAGGCCAAGCTAAAAAAGGGCATACATACTTTTAAGAGCCTTGATTCATATTTCCAAATTGCTCTTTAAAAATGTTGCGTTCATTTTTATTCCAAATAAGGTACATGGTAGTACCTTTCTCATAGCTACCTCAACAACATTCAATGACATTTATTTTCTGAAGTGATCAAAATTAAAATATCCATATTAATAATCAGAGAATTGAAATTCACAAAGGTAAATTACTCTTCAGTGAATAAACTGGTAGCAGATCCAAGGACAAAACAAAGAACTTAGAGATTAAAGAGAGCACAGTAGAGCAGAGCTCAAGCTCTCGGAGTCATACTAACAGGTTCTAATCCCTTCCTTACCATTCACTAGCATGTGACTCTGATGTCATCTGCAAAATGGGCACAATGGTAACTCTTTAAATGTTATTTAAAACAATGAATAGATGGCACATGTGCTAGCACTTAGCAAGTGCTTGGCATATAGAATGCAGGTGTGTAATTCTCTTAAAAATGATATCTATTTTCTCTAAAGATATTAATCTGAAGAAATATTTATCTAAATCTTGCAACCAGAAATTTATAAATATAGAAAATTATGTACTGATACTTGGTATGTGTCTAATGAAAACAACAGAAAATAATGTTGCTTCTAAAATAAATGAGTTGTTTCTAGAAAATATTATTCTGCCTAGAGTTCAGCTAAATGTTTGATAAAATCTTCAGGACTTTGAAAACATCATCAATTTTGAATAATACAGTGATTAGATAAAATGCACTCTAGCCCTCTGCTCTCATTTACAGGAAGATAAACATAAAAATATTTATTTTCTAATTGTATTACACTGTGTTCTCTTTTACTAAATACTATCAATTTCTATGCTCAGGGATTATAAAGTAGAAGATATTCTAAATGAGATTTTCAAACTAAGTAGACTCCTGCCTGATATATTCAGTGATAAGAAAAATAAATAGTATATCATGGTTCATTTTAGCTCACATGACTGAAATTAATGGTATTGCTATTTGCTATTTTACCACATTAAAGAATAATGTACAAAGCAACATAACTCCTCTACTAAATACTTGGGTATTTGTATTTAAATGCATTTTTCACATTTTAAGCCATTAGCTATTAATGTGATATCAAGGAAACAGTGAACCATGAACAAGAATTCTTAAAAAAAAAAAAAAAAAACCTCTATGATTCTATACGGTCTGTTTCCTTTGAGGGAAATTCCACAACCCTTTGCCACATTCATGTAATTCCATCTAGAAAGTGTTTACTTGGTGTCATTCTCTAATTGGTGGTGATGACATCCTGACATTCTGTAATTGGTGGTGATAACATACCCTACAGGGAATTGGCTTAGTTTTTTTTTCTTTCCTGAATGTTTCAAGGAACTTGGCTGATTCATGAACACTCTGGCTGCAACTCTTTACAACTAACTCTATGCATCTGAAGTTCTACTGAATAAGGTCAAGGTTTAGGCAGGATCAACTAACAAAGCAAATGTAACTTGGCTGTAAGAGCAGTATATATTAATATTAACTGATAAAAGTCCCCTCACAATTCCATACCAAACATTCAATTATCTTTCTAGAAATGCCTGTGCACTTGCTATTGATATTGTCCATTTCAGTTCTTGTATAATTATAGCCCTACATATGACCAAAGAGGGAAATGCAATGACGATCAGGTCATGAACTGGACCCTACTTACTATTTCTTATGGAGAAAGAGGATAGGGGACAAATTAGAGTAATCACAATTATATACCATGTTAAAAAATTTAGTGAATATATTATGAATATGTTTGGTGACACCAGCATCCAGATTTTCAATACAAGTGGACTCCAACTTACTATGGTTCAATTTATAATTTTTCAACTTCATGATGGTGCAAAAGCAATATGCATTCAATAGAAACTGTACTTTGAGTACCCATACAACCATGCTGTTTTTCACTTTCAGAATTGTCTTTAATAAATTATATGAGATATTCAACACTGCATTATAAAATAGGTTTCTGTTAGATGATTTTGCCCAACTGTAGGCTGATATAAGTGTTTTGAGCACATTTAAGGTAGGCTGGGCTAAGCTCTGATGTTTGATAGGTTAGGTATATTAAATACATTTTCAACTTATGATGAGTTATTGTGATGTAACTACCATGTAAGTCAAAGAACATGAGCTATAAGTGAATTAGACAAGGAAGGCAACAGTGATGAATTAGGAAACCAGATCTTGAAGGTGATAAACATTTGAGGTTCATATTTTCTTAACAGTGAAAATAGTTGTTGAAGCTACAAATGACATGGCAAGTTTCATGACTTCTCATTTCCAACCATTTATCCTTTAGCTCACACAAAGAGGTAAACAGGGGGATTGAAAGTGAGAAAATACAGTTTAGAGTTTGTAAAGCATAATATGTCTGAACAAAACACATCTCATCTCTTACATTAATTTTGTATTCTTTAAACAAATATTTATCAAGCTCCGATTATATTTTACCTTGTATTATTCTAGACAATTAGTACTTTCTTGGAATACACTGTAGCTCTAACTTTCAAGAATTTATTGTCTAGTGGGAAGTCAGGGCTGAAACCAATATTTATTAAACTATATCAGATGTGTTATCAGATGTTACAAAAGATAGAAGGAATAGAAAGGATCAAATGACTAATACCTCTTCCCATTTTATTCAAAAAGCACCTCCTTCTAATTTCCATGATAATGCCCTGGGGAAACCATCACATACTCAATAAAATAATCCACATAAAACAGTCTCAGCACAACACAAATTTTAGAGAAGCTATGACAGTAATAACAAGAAGATGATAGCTTTATTATATTGCTTGCAGGATTCATGGTTTTCTCTATCAAAATCTCTACCATCCCAAGAAATCAAACTATTAATCTCTCTCCATCTGCTCATCATCTCAACATGAGATTGGAAGCAAATCAAATGGCATATAGATATGCTTATTTGAAGAAACCTTCCCTCCACCATTGTGCTTTGCTTACAAGTTTAAGAACCAGTTAAAGATGTGTTAAATGATAAGTTAAATGATAAGGCAAGGGATTTGTGATAGATGTACCTGGAAAATGGGTGGATAATCTCAAACATAGCTTTGCTTTCTTCTTGAAAAATTACAAATGACATGGATGATAATGTTTGTTTTCTTTTTTTCATTGTAATTTCTGTTCTGAGCAGATAATATGATTACAGAAACAAAGTACAAATACCTCATATTGCCTGGATACGGTTATGGCTTAATTTAATTATAGTAATTTACAGCCCCATTGCACAAGGTTGTTAAAAAAATGTGCTGCTTGCAATGGGCAGTAGGTTGACACAAACTAACAGTGTACATTTAAACTAAACTACCTCATTAAATTTTAGGATGCCATTATTCCTTGTCTTATTATTATTCTAAATACAGTATTGTGGCTTCTGTGACTCATACACAGTAGTTCCTGACAGAATTAATTTTGATGCATGCTGCATTAGTCATACTTTTCTCTCAACTGAAGTGATGCACAATGCACTATATATGGTGGTAAAGTTACTTAGGGAATTTCTAGAGTAGTATTATCCGACATTGTCATTAACACCAAGAACGTAAACAAACATCACTCTGAATAACTCTTCAAAGTTAGAAAAACAAAGTCACTTGGCTTTTCATGTTTATTCAATAAAACTTAAAAGGTGTCAAAGTATAAAGGAGAGAGAAATGGACCTATGGAGAAGATATGGTGCTATGTCAGCAGTCTTAATTTCCTCTCTGACCATGGGCAATACACCCCTGGGACTTAATACACTTGGAACAGATATTTTCTGAGCTGTCACCTAGTCCTAATATTGCAAAACTCCATAATCCTTCATTTGCTTCTAAACAGGAAATAAGAAATATAAAGGTAAAAAGAGAATGATCACCGATAGGCAAGGATGTGAGTGTTTCCCTTTGATAAAAATGGACATTACTTTTTTATAAAAAGTTACTAACAATTACAGCTGTGAGTGCCGGAAAATGGGCAGTCCAACTATTCAAATGCGTATTCCTTATGGACTTGCCACATGGTCTTCAATTCTCATCTCAGGCATTCATTTAAAATCCCTTTTTAAAATGGCATGTCATTTGGGAAGGTTAATATATTAAAGTTCTTCCTAAGTTAAGCTGTTGAAATTTTAGGAATGGTAATATTTGAACAGTTCAGAAATTTTCTATAAAGCGACTTTTACTGGACCAAATGGCTAAGTGTCTATAATCAGATAAAAGCTATTTCAATAATAATTGGAGTCTCATCTTTTTGTTTGGCAATATGTTTTTTCATACATTAAAGGAACTTTGGTAAATGAGAAGATTATCAGCTCTTTGAGTAGAGACTCTGAGTGAACAGAATCATTGAAAGCACAGCATCTAGATATATAAAGAAATTTAGACAACTCTGGGAACACTGACCAAAAATACTGATTATTAATGAAAATGGACATTAAGTTTTTCCAGGATGTACTAATGACTTAATTTATCAAATAATTTAACATCCTTAACTTCCCAGGTTAGGGTGAGACACCTTGCTTGAAATCTACTTGGAGGTGCCTGGTGAATCTTTTAACCCAGTCTCGAGCCAACTGTTTACACTTAACGTACCAAAGACTTATCACCTTGATAAAACTGATGCATTTAAACCACTGTCTTAAATTAAAGAATCATAATCAAAACTGAAGATGCATGAAGGCTAGGATAAGAAGATGGTAGATTCAGGGAACGGGCAGAGCAGAGGTTGAACCTGAAGGCCGCGCACAGTGAGGCACCCTAATGGGTTCTCTGTGGAATTAACAAGCAGCATGAGGGGTGGGATATGAAAGGCAACAGGAATGGTGATGAAGCCAGGAATAAGCTTTCCTTTTTAGCATTCTGTAAAGAAGAGCTTCCCAAATCCTTTCAAACAGAAACTTACTGATTGTAGTAACATAAAACATCAGATATTTCTAGACTATTAGACAATATTAAGAATGGACTGCACTTAAACTACATATTTGTAGCTCATATCATTGTATTGCCTGGCTTTTAAAAAGTTATTTTAGAATAAAACAGTAGAGAGAACTGGTAAGTCCCATTATCAATATTCCAAAATACAGAATAATACACAGAAATCTGAAACACAAACGCTTACTAAAAACAAGCAGTGCCAGAAACATTTCATACATTAAAAATAAAGGAGTAAGAGGTTTTTTTCACAATTTTTCTATCGAAGGGCTTTGTGTACTTCTCATTTATATTTCTATGTTATAAACAATCCTAGTTTAATATACAAAATATTTAATAAATGGGTTCTTCTGAAATCCTGCTGTTGTAACATTCTGTTGTTGAGGAGACAGACGTCACGTTTCTTTCAGCCAACAAGAGTTTTAGAAAAAACACAGCATTCTCCTTATGTTTCATTCTATTTCATTTTGTGTTATTGAAGCTATACTCTCGTATTAGTTTATATTCTTTATAACAAATGAGGATGACAGGGAAGAAAACTGGATAGGAGCTAACATCAATAATGCAAATTGAAACTCAGCAATCTTTAGAGTCGGCTCATTGAGGATGGAGGGGTTTCAGAATCAATGACGAAGGCACATCTCTTCCACTCAGCTTTATGAAAGAAATTCACACCTCGAAGGCTTTCAGTCAGTCATCACCCTGACCTTGGTCACTACACCTCTTGCATGTCTTCAAGACATCAACCTAGTTGCCTGTACACCTCACAGGACACCAGACCATGGAAGGGAAACTTTGGGATCAACCTGAAATTACAGTCCTACCTAAATGACTTACTCTATAGATGGGGATTTGAGTAACTTGACAGTAAGGATCCTGCTGCACACTGGTAGAGCTTTATTAGAAGGGCTCAGAAAGACACAGATAAAAATCATAGGGTCAGAAGGTCATCTGAGGGGTCCCCATGAAATTATAATCAGCTATCACTATTCTAATGTAGTCAGTAGGGGCTGTAAAACTTAGAAGAAATAAAATATATAACATTAAGCTGAGACGCATGTTATATTTTATATAATAAAACATATTTTATTTTAACTATATTTTAACATGTATTTATTTATAATTTATTTATAATGCATATATATCCCCACCTCTCTTTAGCAGCTCATGGTAAATTTTTTTTGAATGAGAAATATAGGTAGTAGGAAGGAAGAGGAGGAAGGTGAAGGAGAGAGTCTGCTTTCATTAACTACTTATCATTTGTTGGTGTAATGGGGAGTGGAGTGTGATGTAGGGCAGTGGTTCTTAAACTTTAGCAGCTGTTTGAATCACCTAGAGGGTCTCTTAAACACAGTTACTGGGCTCTGTCCAAGTTTCTGATTCAGTAAGACAGGTGGAGCCTGAGAACTGCATTTCTAATAACTTTCCAAGTGATGCTGCTGCTGGTCCTGGCCCATCCTTTGAGGATTACCGATGTAGGAAATAGCAAGAACCAGAGCAACAGTAGCTCACTGTTTTGCAGATCTATTTTTTAATGGCCAGCTCAAGGCATGAGTAAGAGCTGAAATCCAGTTCTGACCCCTGGTACTGGCCTGTATCAGCTAGGAGAAACAGATATCTTTTGATGTATTTTGTATTCACTCAGAAGGGGCTCTTTTTTTTATTATGCACAATGTGTTTTATATGCTAGCAGGGACTTTGCTGAAAACAACAGAAGCTACCTTATGTAGGGAACTTCAATAGCAGGCATTTATGCTAAGTCCTGCACCCCCAACAGGACATACACACATGCATGTATATATTTATGCATGCATGTGTATTTATAAACATACATTTATTCATACATGCATGTTTACAAGTATGTATTTATGGATATATTCTCTTGCCTATGAAAAACCATGTCCTGGAGGGCTTTTATACACACATATATATGAATGTGGGCATGCATGTGTTCAGTTATCTCACATATATCTTGCCTTGGTGGTTTTACATTCTATTTTATAAATCAAGAAAATTCAAGTTTAAAACCAGAAATTAAATTGTCATAATTACACAATCTTTCCAATCTGTGATCCTGAATCATATAAGAGTTATAGAGTTTAACATAGTTATATATATTTATGGTTTACTTGTCCTTGAGTAAGCTGGAGCCTATTTGTGTTTCATAAATATAATTAAGTAAAAGGATTCCATTTGATCTCTGCTTCAAAATATAAGGTCAGGCAATCCATGGTACTTAGAATGAACTTGGCGTAGAAACAAAGAAGCATAAATTGCATAGATGAATCTTCAAAATAATCTCAGTTCAAGGTTGTTGAACCCCAAGTTCATAGAACCAATGGTCCTGAGGATTCTAAACAGTGGCTTCAAGGATATCCAGAATGTTCCTGAAATGGAAATATTTTAGGACATGTAGAGTTCTCTGAGGAGCAGTTCCATAGCTTTTATAATTTTCTCAAAGTTGACCAGGGTCTAAAGCTTTCAAAAACTTGCATCCAGTCCAACTATCTCCTTTAAAAACAAAGAAACAAGCCACAGATGTCACTCAGGCATGTAGCAAGTACACTTATGCCAGTGACTCTAGTATGGTGCTCCTGACATAGTTCTGCTGACTTTCTGATCTAAAATTGCTATAGCCTGTGCTAAGCTGTTGAGGTAATAAAGATTTCATAGCAAAATTCTGTGGAATTATCTGCAGTTTTAATAACTACTTAGTTGTGTTTTTCTTCTTATCATAGCGATTGGTTATATCATTACAAAGGTATTTTGTTACCAAATTTTAGTCAATTTATATAAAAATATTATTTATAATGTTTTATAAGATTATTTAGTTATAATACAGTTAATTGCACAATTTTTATTTTCTTGGAGATTCCAAAAAATCAAGATTCTCATATGGTTTCTAGGTCTGTCCTTGCATAGATTTAAAAGATGATTTTATTAACTGTGAATAGAATATGAAGTCCATATTTGTATTAATAGTTTATCTTTTTATTCATACTTATTTACCTGTTTTCCTTATTCTTCTGCATGCCATTTTTGCAAGTCATGAACAGAAATTCAACAGGTTTATCTTTTTTCTAGGTTTAAACTAAAAAGTCAAAACTTGAAATATTTTTACCTTCATTTAAATAAAAAATTGTGATATAAGTCTTAATATCAGGGTTGTAAACATGAGCTATAATACTTTTTCATTATTTTTCTAAAGTGATTTGCTCTATTATCTGAAATTCCTATTTTGTGACTCAATCCCCATATTTTTGGATGTGATTATCTCTTAGCAAAATGTATGGCACATAGATGCAAAATACATTTTATTTGCCTCTTATTCTTTCATGGCTATGACTTATGGAGTGATGTTGGCAAAATAAGTCATATGATCATCGGAACTTGATAGATTCATTATAATAGAAGCATTTTACAATGATGCTGTTAAAATTTCAGCTTTGTTAGTATAATTGGTATCATCATTTGCTTACCACATTTCCTTTTTTTTTTTGAAACACAGTCTCTGTCGTCCAGGCTGGAGTGCAGTGGCACGATCTCGGCTCACTGCAAGCTCCGCCTCCTGGGTTCACGCCATTCTCCTGCCTCAGCCTCCCGAGTAGCTGGGACTACAGGCGCCCACCACCACGCCCGGCTAATTTTTGGTATTTTTAGTAGAGACAGGGTTTCACCGTGGTCTCAATCTCCTGACCTCGTGATCCGCCCGCCTCGGCCTCCCGAAGTGCTGGGATTACAGGCGTGAGCCACCGCGCCCAGCCACCACATTTCTTATAGAGTATAGTTGATCACCATTGTTATTAGCAAAACATGTAAAATAAATAGCATGAAGGTAAATTGCTACCATATTAAACTACTTGATCACGTATTGGACACACATTCTTTTCAACAGAATCCAATATTATTTCCTGGTAATAATGAATGGCAGAATATGATTTTTAAGTATAGAAAAGTCTTAATTTTCTTGAAAGTATTTATAAAATAAAATCAGTTTTGAGGATGGCAAGTCATATTCTCCCTTAGTTTTTGCTTAAATACAGAATTAAAGAAAGAATGTTCTCTTAAGGATTTCGCCCGTAAGAAAGCAAAAGCAAAGAAATTCCCAAGTATACACACACACTCACATAGGGTGAAGATGGAGAGGCATGACTTTTGTGGTCTACACTTTGGCTGAGTTCATGTTTGCATTTTAAAAGGACGTTGAACACAGTAGAAATCCAACATTGTAGATCTCTTATCTTTATTGAATTATAAAGGAATTTTATTGCACATTTTAGAAACACATGGGGCCAAACTGTTTTTAGAACCAAGATAAAATCATTTAAACTAAAGTTTATTATAAGGTGCCAACCACAATCAGTTTCAATTAGGCTCACAAAGAATGTTAGAGTAGCTCAGTCTTCTCAGGAGTCTCTATAGTTAAAGATCTGCCTGCATACTCATTATAAATCCAATTTTTGAGAGGTTTGTAACTCAGCCAGTTTAATTTGCTTTGGGAAGAGACTTGGCACTCTGCTTTCTAACCCAGATAAATTTTTGAGGGTTTAAAACTATGTAATACATTTAAATTGCTTTGGTTTTTCAGTGATTTGGAGTTTTATTATCATCTTTCTAAGAAAACTTTTTGAACATTTTTTTGAATCTCTATAAAATTTGCCACAGTCATACATACATTTGTTTATGCACTAAGGCTCTTTATAAGGCCACAAACCATTGCAATAGCTATGATTTTTTTATTCCCCCTCGCCTGCCAAAAACACGTTTTTTGCCCCTTAGGAAAAATATTACCCCTGTTATGCATGCATGATCTATAGAAACACTCAAGTCTCTCAGGATCCACAGATTTCAAAGTTTCTCTCTTAATGAATATCTAAACAAATTTCTTAAAGTGAAAATAAATTTTACAAGCATGCAAATTTAGTCATGACTTGCTTTAATACAAAAACCTGGTAAAAAGAATTTTAAAAAATAATATCTCACTAATCTCTGAAACAAGAAACACTTTGCATCTAAATTCCAATGTTGATAAAAGTCTGTGTAAAAGATTTGAAAAACAGAATTAAGACCAATGGATGTATTAGCAGGCAGAGAATGGTAATACTGTCATAGATTAAAGTGAATCACATTTTTTTTCTATTGATAATGACAGACAGTGATTTAACTACTCTTAGACTATTCTTAACTGACAATTTTGTAGAGAGTAATAATATCTGTGTTTATGGAATAAAATAATTTTAGACCTGGGAGAGATTTTGTAGTCCATTCTTCCCTGATTTAAAAAAAATAATGTAGCATCTGGGACCCAAGGGTATTACCAGAGTCATTTAATGCCAACTGAAACTTGGAAATAATATTTTTTCTTCCTATCTTAGCCTACTTATTATAATTCTTAAGATAGTTTCTTTTCATTGGGTGTTCCACTGTGAAAAAAAAAAAAAAAAAAGTAACTCTAACCTGCCAGGAAATCAATGACTAATAAACAGTTTAATTAAGATGTTGCTTTAAGATCATTTCCCCCATTCCTTTTGACATGATTTCTCCATGTAAGATGGAACAGTGCATAGCATGAAATTTAGGAATCTGAGGCTGTGCTTTTTTCAGAATGGAGATGCCCTCTTGTAAACGCCCAGTGTTACTCCTAATAAGAGTTTACAAAATCTGTGAATTCATTTTTGGGTTGTATATAGGATCTTCTTTGGCAATATATATCTTATTTCAGTTGTTCCACAAAGGAATGTAAAGCGTCATTCTTAGTAGTTTTCCTGAAGTTACTGAGTTTCAGAAATTTGTTACAGATAATAATTTCAAACACTGCCAATCAATTTCAGATATTACACTTTTCTATTAACACGGCAACAAATAGCAAATAGAAAAATGCCAAAGAAATCCTAAGAATAAAAATACCTCTAGAGCCACTTTTTCAAAGCAAATTCAAATAGAGGACCTCAAAGTCCCACTTCTAGTAAAGCTAATAATAAAAACAAACTGATAATGGTAATAATAATAATAATAATAATAATAATAATACCTCAACATCTTGGAACTAAAACAAGTCTAGAGTTGCATCTCAAGTTATAAAATGATCTGTAACCAGCAAGAGTATTAATTGACAAGAAAAAGTCAAAGGTGCAAGCTGAAAGGTCAAATGCTGGCATAGATCTTGATATCTGCTCTTTAACGTCTCACTCATGTCATTTCCTTGCCACATACCGTAGGCTTTTCCTAACACACTTAGAAACCTACAAACCTTGGCCTGAAGGAGCTGTAAGAGTTGCTGATGTTGATTTCTTCAGAGTTTTTTCACTGAGAGCTGTTAAGTAGTAAGTTGTAGTTGGCAGTTAGCCACCTGCTCACTAAATATTTTAAACTCTGAAATGAAATGCCTCTCAATGTGCTGTACAGACATTCCAAAAAATAAAAAAATAAAAAAGAATTTTATTACCTCACTTAAACTCAATTGGCATTTAATGAGGTATGAGCAATGTCTATGTAATGTCATGAACTAAAAAGCAAATGACCTCAGAAGGTGGGGGATGGTCCCAAAACCTGAACTGCATCTAAAATAAGATTGTATTTTCCTCTGCAATCTGTTTGATGCAGAATGCATTAGTGTCTTGGCATTGGACAGCTGTGATTCCATCTAAGAAGTGTAAAGTTTTCTCTTAGGCTTTTTGTTTCTTAGTTGTTTTGTCTTTGTTTTTTAATGCTATTTCTAATTAGGTCTAATACATTTATCTGAATTCAATCTGCTTTTTTTGTTGTTATTGTTTGTTTTTCTTTTGTTTTTAATAACTGTGCAATAGTATCTTTTATATGCCTGAGTTGAAAAAAAATACACTAACAGTATTAACAATTTTTCCATAAGCTCCCAAGTTGTATGCGACTATAGGCTTTTAAACAAACAAATACAAATTAAAAGGCAAAATAATCATTTAAGAAAATATGCTGATTCTAGATTTTCTTTTCTAATTTCTAACTGTATATTGATTGGAGCCAACAAATGATTCAATAAGAAACTTAAAATGTTACAGCTTTCATTCTTACATTTGCCCATGCCTCAATTATTGTCACAGACAGAATCCTTCCCATCCCATTACCATGTGAAAGCTGAAGGATGCAGACAGGGCAACAGATCAGGGCAAACTCGGTGACATGATTCATTCCATCCAGAGATTGTTTGGGTACCACTGTATTTCTTAAAATAAAGTCTGTTTGACATTTACCAAAAGGTTTTGAAGAAAGTACAGAGAGTTGCCATATACCCACAACCAGTTCTTCTATTATTAACATCTCACATTGGTATGGTATGTTTCCCATAGCTAAGGAACCAATATCGATACATGATTATTAATTAAAGGGCATATTTTATTCAGATTTCCTTAGTTTTTACCTACTATTCTTTTTATGTTCCAGGGTCTCATCCATGATACCACATTTAGTTGTCCTATCTCCCCAGGCTCCTCTAAACTATGATAATTTCTCAGATTTCCTTGCTTTTGATGACCTTTGCAGTTTTGAACAGTACTGGTCAGATATTTTGTAGAATATCCCTCCATTTGTGTTTGTCGGTTTTCCTCATGCTCAGACTAGGGTACTATGTTTTGGGGAGGGAGACAACAGAGGTAAAGTGCTATTCTTATCACATCATATCAAGAGTAAATGCTTTCAACATGATTTGCCCCTGTTGATATATCCTTAGTTATCTGGCTAAAGTGATGTTTTTCAGGTTTCTCCACTGTAAAATTACTCTTTCACCCTCACTTCCATACTGTACTATTTGGAAAGAAGTCATTATGGGAAGCCCACACTAAAGGAATGAATAGTCATGCCTTATCTCCTTGAGGGCAGAATATCTACATCAATTATTTGGAATACTGCTGCACAGGAGATATGTCTATCCTCCCCCATCAATTCATGTATTCAATCATTTACTTATATCAGAATAGACTTAGAGATATTTACTTTATACCTCAGATTATAATCTAATACTATGCTATTTATTTTCTTGCTCAAATTGTTTTAGCTTTGGTTATTTAGAGCCCTTTCTTTTGGCTGCAATGTCCCTTTGACATACCCCCATCTTCCTGTGTGTGTGTGCACATGCACGTGTGTGTGTGATTGTGTACATGTTTTAGTACTTTCTTATTTCTCTGACACTACCAGATGCTCCAGGTTTATTTTGTGTATTCCCTGTTGCACATCTAGAATCAGCCATTTCTCCAAGGAGCCCTGGCTCCTTTTATTTGAGAATGGCATTAGAGAGAGAAAGGTCTGCATACTGGGTATACCATTTAATTTTGGCTTGATAAATAGAGCAGTGCTTTTTTTAAACAGCATTGTTTTCTGACCTGACAGTGCAACTAATATTAAGATAAATACTGTTCTTTTCAGAGCACTTTCCTTATATCTGTTAAGACAAAACACATTCAACTTAACGTCTAATAGTTTGGCCTTAGAGAAAAAGTTCTTCATGCATTCTTGAAGAGAAGGGCAACCATTTTGAGAGGAAATTGTATGCCTTGGTTAGTATTTCTCCTTTATCCTTTCACCAATATTAGCAGATATTTGGCTTTGTGCTTGTCGCTTCAAAGGAAAAGTGTGGCAGGACAGAATCCCCAAATAAACTGAGAGTCTCTGATTTTGTATTCTAACCACTGAAGTTCTTTGTAAAGGATATTCATTGGCATTGACAGGGAGTTATGACCAGATAATTGGAGAAAATGCTAGGATTCTTTCCCAAACATTGAGAGAGAGAGAGAGGAAGAAGAGGAAGAGGAAGAAGAAGGAGGAGAGAGAGATGGAGAGGAGGGGGGAAGGGGAAGAGGGAGGAGGGAAGGAGAAGGGAGGGGGGGAAAGGAAAAGGGGAAGGGGGAAGGAGAGGGAGGGGGAAGGGGGAAGAGTAAGGGGGAGGGAGAGGATGAGGGAGAGGGGAGGGGAAAGGAGAAGGGGAAGGATAAGAGGAAGTGGGAGGAGAAGAAGAAGAAAAAGAAGAAAAGGAAGAAGAAGAGAGAAAGGCAGCAGGGGGAGGAAAGAGATATTATTATCTGGGGGCTGATGCAGGAGTACCACCACTGGAGAAGCACCAAACAGGTAGATCCAGGCAGACAGATTATATGCAGCCTTGCAAAAGGTTTTTGGTTCTCACAGGTGACACAAAGTAGCAGAAAGCTAAGAGGACGTGAAGAGGCATTCAGAACTAGTCATCTCATTGGCAACTTGTATGAGACAGGGACTAGAGCAGATGGCCCATCTCCCTTCTCCCTCCCAATGTCCAGACACTGTGGAAGACTCTAGGGATAGAGCAGAAACCTAGTGTAGGGCCACAAAGGGAAGCTCTGCATTAGAAACTAAATTAAGCTACGGAGCACTTAAGAATATTTCTACTTCATTTGAGTTTGTGGACTAAGACTTATGCCCACAATAGCTCTTATATTCTCCTTACTTTGGTTAAGGATTATATCAAATCCATCACCCCTTGAAAAAGCTTTATAAGAGATGCGATGCATTTTAAGTACTTTGGGAAATCTGACAGAAAAAATTAATGCAGAGTCATATAGCTCTCACCTTTCTTCTTCAGGATTATTTAATTGTGGCTGGAAGTCCTGAGGCTCTGTACTTGTAAGCACTTTCAGTACAAAGGGTGACACTTTGATTAAGGCAGTTGAATATAATGGTTAAGTACATGAATTTTGATGCTGTCAGAAATAATTGTTGTAAACAGAAGCTTGCCTAAATTCATATCTAGGGTCCACCCCTTTCATATGCTGTGGGACCTTGGGGTATCTGTGCCTCAATGTCACATGTATCACAGAAATAAAACAGGGGCAGTAACAGTTCCTATCTCACATCATTGTTATCAAGATTGGGTGCACGTTTGCAAAATGCTCAGAATATAGGAAACTAGATGTAAATGATTTTTAAATAAAATAATGACTTGGTGCTGTCATGGGGTATATTTCCCTTGTTATGACAATACATTTAGCATTGCTTTAGAAAAGGAAATTCTTGTTGGGTCAATTTGAAATCTTAACACTGACTAGATTTAATTGGTTTCTAAACTTGGTGTCTGAGAATTTTGATTGTATTTTTTGCTTCTGATTGCTTTAGCAAATGTGACTATGCCTTAAACATGCCTGTCAAAAATTGGAAAAGTATATTTTTTCTTATGTTCACACACACACACACACACACACACACACACACACACACACACACAGTCACATACATACATATGAATTCAGTAAAAGAAACAGGTTTGATTGATTTAAAACCTCCTTAAGAGGTAATGACGCTTCTGAATGAGATTCAAATGCCTCAGACTTTGACCAAGAGGCAGATGATAGGCAAAACACAGCTTAGAAAAAAATTTTCTTGTAAAATGTAAACACCAAAGACAGTTTATTTCTTGGCCAAAACGATTTCCATATTTTGCCAATTAGGAAGGGCTTTGTTTTAAAGTCCAAGGATAAGAAATTATTTTCCTGTGCATCCTTTACATGCATGCGCGCGCGCACGCACACACACACACACACACACACACACACACACTCTCTCTCTCTCTCTCTCACACACACACTCTCTCACACACACACACGCTCACACACACATACATACACACACACTTTGCCATTTGGAAGCTATTAACAGGCATCTTCATATTCAGAAATTAGAAAAAGCTACCACACAAATGTCTGAGATGCCTTTTAAAAATCAGCGCTTTAAGTTTTTCAAAGATTTATTTATTTATTTATTTTGAGAAAAGCAAGTACTTCATCAGTTCTCTCACAAAAATCTTCAAATGCTTTCGGGAAAGAAATAAATTTTAAAGTGTGTTCAGTCATACTCTATTCAAGTAAGGCAGTGAAAAAAGCCTTTGAATCAGAACTACAGCTCACCATAATCTGGTTAAAATTATCTCCAGCACCACCTGTCATTATTAATATGCAGAGAAAGGAAAACTACCTTCGGTCTAGTTACAGAGCTGTGCATGTGGCCCATCAGCACCTTAGAACTTTCTTATCTAATGGCAGTTAAGTTTTCAATCCTTCTTGAACAATTTTTCTATAATCATTGAAGGTAGCTCATGGTTTAATTTAAATGTGTTCTAAGGAACATTTCATTAGCATTTATATCCACTCATGGAAGAAAATCCACAGGTCTTTTACATTTTCCATCTTTGGGTTTTGTTAAATTTTCAAGCTTAACCATCTTGCTTAGCTTAAAAAAAACTGTTATGTTATTTCAGAAGGTGATAATATGCTGTAGCATAAGTACCAATGTGTTAACTGTTAGATTCATTTTAGCAGAAACTAGAGATATGTGCTCTAAATGCCTGGTCCTAAAAATGACTCATAATGAGAGAAGAAAAGATAAAGGCGAGGCCACCCTGCTCAGGTTCACAAAAGATCAATGCCTATGTTAACTGAAATCTATTTTGTCAATTTTGGTGCTTTCTGTTCTCATCAAAATCAGTTGCCCTCTTATGGCTTGAGAAATCCATCAAGTCTTTCAAAGAACTCCTCTTAGTTTAGCTCTAGAATGATCTAGTCTGAACCAATGCATTACTTTATATCCGGTTGAGTCAAAGGAACCCTGGATCTACTCATGAGAAAATTATATACATATATATATATGCATGCGTGTCTATACGTTATATATATATGTATATATGATATATACCTATATAATGCATACATATATAGTATATAATATGATACATATATAATATATAATATACAATATATGTATATAAAATATATATGTATATATTATATATGTATGTAAAATATATATGTATATATCTAATATGTGTGTATATATATATACAGGGGTAAGATAATCTTCTAGACAGGGTACAGAAGTATATATCATAGAGAGCTCAAAATAGTTCTATTGCTTCTAATACTAGCTTAGGCATAGTTACTGACAAAATTTATATAAAAAATATTTCTATGCCTACAAAATTTGACAAATATTTAAAACTTAGTATGTGCTAGTCATGGTGATCTTTAAAATATTTGGTTTTTGCATTTTTAATTGAAAGTATGTATGCGTATGTAAAGGGTGTGTGCTTGTGTGTGTGCACATACACACTACTACAACAGGTATCCTGAGCACAACTACCAGTAATACTTAAAGTGCAGAAAGTGGTTCCGTTTGAAGAATCACTTTGTTCTTCCAAATGAGACATATTAAGAAGCTTGTACAGCATGTTCATGGAGACTATAGCCAAATCCCAACAGAAGCAAACTCAGAGGGTGTTTGTTTTAACATGATCTGTGCTGATTTTGACCAATTTCTTACATCTTTCCTTTTCCTTCTTTGTGATAAAAAACTTAATGTCACTTACAAAGGGGAAAAGCCCCTTTAAGATGATGAAATTTGGCAGATTCCACCTTGAAAAGGTGTATTTTTTTTTCCTTTAAATAGAGCTCTAAAGATTATGATCATACCACTGCACGCTAGCCTGGGCGATAGAGCGAGAAACCTGTCTCTTAAAAAAAAAATACAGTCCTAAGAAAATCTGAAGCATAAATATTTACTGACATTGTGCTTTGGCTTCCACTGATATGCAACTGTATTTTGTATAGAAGAAGATAATGCTGATTTTGAAGTTAACTCATATACATACATGTGGCTGAAACGATCAATTATTGGTTAGCAGCACCTGAATAATATTCTTTTATTTTTGCATACAATTTCTGCTTTAGCAGTTGTTTGCACACTGTCTTGAGGACTTTCTGTTTTGTTTTACTTTTTCCAAGGTTTTGACGCATGGCTTAACTGAACTGATGTGAAACCAGTGCACTCAATGGGTTCCAGATGAATTATTGTATGTGAGATGATGGTGAATCAGCATCTTAGAAGTCATAAAGCCTTAGATTCGAAGTCTACAGAGAGTCTCTTTTTATGAAGAGCCATCTAATTCCTTAGCAATGGAGCATATAGAAGAGCATAAAATTGTCATGGCATTTTCAACAGCATTTTGTATGTTTTATTTAGTATTGTGCATTTGTAAAACAGCTATGTAAGGAAACAATCTTATACTAAAAAAGTGCCAACAAGTAAGATAATTTTTGTAAGACTTTGCCTACATAAACCTCAAAGGAAAAAAATACTAGTTACTACAACGAATGAAATAAATCACAAAGCCATAAATGTTCTTGAATTAAAAAAACACAATCTGTATATCTTATTAAGTAGTGCAATGTTTTTCAAATTTTAAAGTAAAGGGGTACCTTATTTCAAATTCAGTCTTTGTAAGAACTTTTATCTGTTTTATCTAAGGAAAGTGCAATTACAGAAGCCTGGCCACCTCACCTTCCTGGTCAACTCTCATCTCCCATAATGAAGCCCTAGACTTACAATGAGCATTGTTGGAACAGGTTCCAATGTAAGTGTTTTAGAAAGATTGCCTGCAAAAAGAAAACTGAACAGTCATTAATCATTAATCCCTGGTCCTTTTTAGTACAAATTGTTTTCATCATCCTATGCTAACAAATTAATTGTTTTAAAAGCATTACATTAAATTTGGGCGCTTTCCTTTGTGGGTTCTCTAACAGAAAGCTTCTATCCTTCTGCAGAACCTGTCTGGTTGGATGTATAATCACTGGTGAGTCCTGCTATTCTCCAGCGAGAGGAGGCAGAGAGTATGAAATTCTAAGCCAAACTCTCCCAATTTACCACATAGCTCCACCTCAATGCATTTTATTTATATATCTAGATAGCACACACATTCTCTTTCTTTACATAAAAAATAAACATATATATGTATGTGTATATATATTTAGAATTATGTACATCTACTAGACTAAAAATAAAAAATACTACACTATCTAAAAAATCTCCTTAAAAAGTAATACAAGGTCCTTCATAATCTGGTCTTTTTTTTTTTTATCTGCCTACTCTCTCCTTTCTTCTCCTTTCTCACAATAATCACACGTTAAATGTTATTTCCCAAACCTTTACGTTTGTTCAAGCGTGTATCATTGTTTATGCTAATCACGATGCTCGAACCCATTCTGTGTCTGCATGAAAAGCTTCCTCTGACTCATCAAGTCTCAGGTCCTGAAATTCTTCCTCCCCGTTTCCTGGTGAGATGCTCTTGTTCTATGTGTGCTCCCAAAGGCCTGTGTACCTACCACAAGCAGATGGCTTATGTACAGATGACTATGTAGCATTCTGTGTTGTAATTGTTCGTATTTATCCTATAAATAATTCTTAAGCATCAGTTATTTGCTCTCTATATACTATGTGGTGCTTGAGTATAGGATTGTAACTCTTCATTTATATTTTTTGGATATGACCACTGCACCTTATTCAAAATAGATGCTAAACAAATCATTTGTAAATGAATAAAACCACTTAGATATTTTTCCAAAAATTCATCTAATGTATCCTTTCAGCAAGGCCTTCATTTTCACAGCTTAAGGGATTCTTAGGTGTGTGTTACAGATATTTTGATGTTATCAGTAAAATGTATAAGATTTAATTTAATAAAATGTGACAATGGCTGGGTAGACAATACCTATAATTTCCTATTCATTTAGGTGCTCTAAATATATCAAAATGATGAAAAGAAATTGGGGATCCTTGTTGTTGTCTACTGATCATTCCACTCAGAAAAAACATACTTTAATAACTATTTGCTCATTAAAAAGATTCAAGGAAGGAAGAAGAATGGAACAATAATAACTATAATTATCCATTAAAAATTCTCAAAAATGTAAATAAAGTAGTATTTCATTTTGATTATTTTCTCCTATATTAAGTCACCATTAACTTATACAATTAATGGCATAAAAAATAATACGTAAAAACAAATATGATAGAAAACATACATATGAGTTTATCTAGGTCTAAATGTACTTAATTAAAAGAACTTCTCATTGAGTATCTTTGCATCTACAGACTATTAGATTATGTTGTATAGAAAAGTAGGCTCCAACCACGTCATGTCAGTGCTTTATAACCTTTAAGCTGAAGCCTTTAGATTTATTCTTTCAGTAAGGCATTTAGACACAGTACTTAATGTATTTTCCAAATATTTTAATAAAGCAGCTGATGTACTGAAATGGAATGCGTGCAATAAAAATTGCAAGTTATATATGTAATCATCTTGAGACTATGTCTGTCTTTGAATATGCCAGAGATTTACTAATGAGATATGTATCAGAAAAAGAGTAAAATCCCAAAAGCAAAATGGTAAGAATGGTTGACTGGAGTGATTATTTTAGGGCCCCCAAAATTAGATATAAAATCATATTTGTTCTAAAGAAACAAGAAAATAATATATGGGAGAATATATCATATTTAAAAATTTTTATTATGTATTTAGAATTTCATGTTTTGAGGCCCCATACAAAAGATCAAATTCCAAAAACAAAATATATCAAAATTTATTTGAAAGGAAGGATATAAATGACCTTATCAACCAACATTTAGCAGAGGAGAATAAAAGCAAGGAAAGCAAAAATCCTTCAACCCAGGAGTTGGCAAACTTTTTCTGTTGAGGCCAACTAGTAAATACATCAGGCTTTGCAGGGCATACAGCTGTTGTTGCAAGGATTCCACTCTGGGCTTGTAGCCAAAGGGAAGCCATAGACAACAGGTAAATAAAGGGTTGTGGCTGTGTCTCAATAAAACTTTATCTACAAAACTGACTGAGAACCAGATTTGACCCTTAAGCTGTAGTTCACCAGCCTCAGTTTTAAATACAGAAGAGCTAATATTAATAAAAAGAAAAACATAAGTTTAGCAAAGCTAAAAGAGTAAGTTTAAATTGACTTACTTGAAAGATAAGTTTTGTTTCTGTTCTTGTTTTTTTGCTATAACTCAATTCATCTATCTCCCCATTAGTCTAATATTATCCTAACAATTTCATATATGAGATCATTTGCTATATGGCTTGCAGAACACCTTTATTATCTTTTAAAGCTGGGATTCCCCAAATCTCCCTAATTCCCCTAATTACAAGCCCAGTAATCATCTGGATGATCAGAGAAAAGATTTACTATTTCTCTGATTTACTATTTCTTTGTATGTGTGTGTGCATGTGTGCTGTGTGTTCAATACATTCACCTAATTGTCTCTCCTAATTATAATCATAATAAAACCTGCAAGTTATTCCTGACACCTCACTCATCTGTTTTCACCTTCATCATCATCTTGTCTAGTCTTCTGCAAAGCCACCTGATTGGAAAGCACTCCCATCATTCCTCCACACTGCTGCTCCACTGTTCCTTTCAAAAGGCAGAGCTGATCATGTCACCACCCTGCTTGAATTATTTATCTTGAGTTAATATAGAAATTAAAATCCCTTATGAGGCTTCCACAGCTCTGCCTGGCCAGGCTCCTGCAGTCTTCTCCTGCCTCGTCTCTCACCAGCACCCTTTGATGTTCTGAGCTGCAGCCACGGTGGCCTGGTCTTGGTTCCTCATCCTTGTCACACTAGCTGCCATCAATGGACCTTTACACCTGCTGTTTTTCTACTAGGAACAGCATCCACCACCCTCACTCATGACCTGCCCCCATCTTGCTAACTTTGATTCATTCTTCAGAACTTATGTTTTGCTTTCCCAGTGAATCCTTTCCTAATTTCCCTGAGCATCTCAAACTGTAACTCCAGAGTAATCCTTGCACCATTAGGACTTGGATCAGGGTGAAGTAAGTGAAGCACAAAGAAGTCTCTTATTCTCAGGGGCATGCAGTGTGGTTATGGTCTTCAGGAAGATAAGAAGAGGTGACGGGGAGAAGAACATCTAATTAGCATGTAATTCCAGGCCAGTGCAGGGTCCACAACTAAGGGATGGAAAATACATGTCATCCCTCTTTGAAGCCTACACTTTATTGTGGATCTCTGGGATTTTTACTGTGAAAAACTGTCCCAGTGAAACTGATCAATATATGAGATCTATAAGAGGAATCCTATGAGTCCTATAGGGAGTTTAGATGGAGTGTGAATTTTCTGTTTTTAAATGAAACAGTTCCAGTTTAAATGCATTCATAAGTAGCTACATAGCTTTATATGATTGTTGTTTACATTAGCAAAATAAAAAAGGACCATAATAGACCTTTGTTATTTGCAATGATTATCAGGATAACACTGAATAAAAATGGCTTGAATTAGAAACAGAGAGAGTATTTTTCATTTCCTGAACATGTACAGATTGAGTCATATAATTATATTGACCATGGTCCATTAATATATGCATTTTACCAAGAAAAATCTTGACTATCCTGAAAAAGAAACCCTGCTGAGCAGAATTATTTTTCATAAGGCTAGTTGAGTTTTATCTTATTTTATCGTTTGCTCTAAAATTTATTGCCACAATGTTATAACTTTGTAACACCATAACTGCACACTGCTCCATCAAAAAGAAAAAGGAAAGAAAGAAATCACCTAAGGGAATACTTTGTAAGCAACAGTCACTCTGATAAATTACTAAAATCATGGAAAAGATTCAATCAAGTTATTCAGAGCACCCAGATCAGCAGCAGGGCTACTGCAACGAGCAATTCCAGGGGCACCATTCACATGGTGTTCTCTGGGAATATGGGTCTCTGGAGTTACACAGTGTGTGGGTGTCCCCAAAGGGCAGAATTGATATAAGTAGATTAGAGCAATGTTGTAAGGTAGACAAAGCTTTATCTTGAGCTTTAATATACTTAAAAGATAAAAACTAAACTATCCAAGAAAACATATGCCACCTTTCACAGGAACTTTACTTAAACTACCTGATCCTATGTTATAGAATTTTCTAGGCACATTTTGAGTTTGGTTCAAAATGTTAGTGTATTTGTTTTCTACAACACAACTGTACTCTGCCTCAAGTTGCAAGCTCCACTCTGCAACAGCAACTTGGCCCATATATAAGTTTCATCGATCAGTGTTTCTTTTGCTCTTTTCAGCATCTGGTAGAATTAAATGTAATATGTAAATAATTAATAGAGCCATTATATTTTTTCTTTTCTTTCAATTATGAAGTCAATAGAGCAAAAGTCTAAATATATGTGCATCCTATGAGCATATACACATAAAGAGGGCTGAGTAATAACCATGTGTAATCGAAATTTTATGCAATCTGAACTAAAACAATTTAGGTAAAGCCACTTTTTCCCATTATATTTCATCATAAATTTAGAGAACTGTACCTGTGGAACAAAACCCTATAAACTCTGCCTTGAAATCTTGATTTAGAAGATTCGCCAACTAGCAGAGATTGCTATGATGGTGAAAGGAAAAGGAGAAAGGATGGGGTATATAATCAAGATTTCAGGATTTTGCTATTCTTACATTTTCTTTGGTTGACATTGACATTTTAACGGACCTGGGCTATGAGATTGCCTCCAATATAAGTGTATCACCCTGGTCTAACTTATCTTGAAAATTTCTAAATTATCTTGAAAATTTTAAAGAATATTAAATAGGTTGCTCACTTTATCAATATTGGAAGATGTAAAATCTGTACATTAGATTCATAATAAGATATACCCATGTTATTCCATGAAAGTATCAAAATAATACAGAAAACATTAAAAATTATATTTATCAAGCATCTATCATGGAAGTAGCACCTTGTTATTCACTTCAACCAAGTATAAATTTCTCATTTAGTCTTACAATGATCTAATGATGTGAGTTCTATTACCCCAAACATATACTTGAAGAAACTGAAATTTAAATAAGTTAAATAATTTATCTAAGGCCACCAACTAGTAGGACATAAAATTGGAATATAAATTCTTTTTCAGTTGGCTCAGCCTGAGCTTTGATCAATTAAATTTATAATAATATTTTCAAAGTAAACATTTTCTTTAAAAATGAATAAAACATGAAATATTATAATCATTATCCTTTTGATGTTTTATTTGTACCAGATGTTAAGGATATACTTGTTTGTCACAGATAATTTTATACTTAATAAAATATCAGGTTGGATAAGATTGGCTATCTAAATATTAATGTAAAGATAACAACTTTCGATGAATGATCATTAAATTGCCCTAGACTTTGAATCACTTTTGGAGAGCCTTCTCTGAGTTTTCCTTGTAAATAGAGCAACTTATAAACAGAACACAGCACTGAACTTGGAGATGTAGGGATCCTTCTGGGTGGCTTTACAAGCATGAAATCACATGGAAAATGAAGCATGTAAAACATGTAACTGTAGTGAAGTCTTTTCTTTCATTTTCAGATAATGGTCTTTAATTATAATGAATTCAACATTTTTTCAGACTATTTAATGTTTGTAGTCCTATATCATGTGAAAAGCTCTTCAGTCTTACATGCATCAAACTAATTTTTCTTCCTGATGTTGTTTTCTTGGATAATTCTAGAAGAAGAGTGGTAATTTACTTGGTGTTCGGTATGTGTTCTTACATAGGTTGCTTATTGTGAAGTTAAAAGGAAGCATTACACCTTGTTTTTATAAACTTTCCATAGTGGTCTGGGATCATGGCAATTTTCCTCAATAACCAAACCTAGCAAAATAAACATTGACTCATGTATGAAGTATTGCTGTTATAATAGTGATCTTTATATATTCATCCTCACTTTGTGTTTATTATCATACAAGCAGCCTATCCTACGGTTACTTCAACAAGTCTTCTCATTGTTTAAACAAAAATATTTTTTATAATTATGAAAAGGGCATTATTATCCACACCTTTTGCTAATATAACTACTCTTCCTTTTTTTGGAAATATTTCTAGCGAGAAAGTTAAAACTTTCATACCTGGAAAGTTTCATAATTGGAAAGAAAACATATTTTAAAATCTACGTCCATTGAACATTTTCATAGACAATTTTAGTTGATTTTTAGAAGAATTTAACATATTTTCCTGATTTCTTTTTTTTTTTTTCTTTTTTTACTCTGAGCTTAAATAAATTCTCTTTTTGACTCCATATGTAACTTGGAGAAATGTTACAGGATGCCTGCAGTGATAGAGTCTTTTTTTACATGTCTTATTACATGTTGCCGTGGGTCTCCACTGAGAAGACCTATTTTAATTCTCATCTTCAGACTCTCTCCTGAGAAGAAGGGCTGCTGCCTTCTTTCAAGGTCATAGGATTTGATGGATGAGCAGTACTAATAGAGATCCCAGTTTCATTCCAAATTGAAAGAACAACAGAAAAGAAGATTAACCTGTCCCAATTAAGCTGAAATGAGGCCAAGGGCAGGTGACCTTTATAACAACTGAACACTATCATTTGAAAGCTGAATTACTGAATTAAAAAAATAAAATCCAGCTCCCTATGACTGCATGCTAAAAGTAGCTTACATTTTACAGGAGGCTCTTCAGTTTTCAATGCTTTGCTACTTAGAGTAGCTTGTTCTCTCACTAAGCACCATGCCATGAGAGTTATAACGTCATGGTTGGCTATAAGTGATCCTCTTTTATAAAACTTGGAGAAGAACTTATTTGCCTTAGATCAAGGATCAAGGTTCCCCTGTGACATCCAGGGATTTGTGCTTGAATTGGGATTCTAAATCCAATTGCCAGTTACTATCAGCCAAACGTTGTGTGTAAAACATTACAGTGATCCCTTCAATAAAGATTTTAAACCTATGAAAGAAGGATGGTTAATGATTTAAAAAAATATTGATACATGTGAGTTTGTTTTTATATTTAATATATTTTTTCCTAAAGTGGAAAGGGGATAAAATATTTTTATTTTTAGCAAACATTCACATGTTTAGAATTTCATTAACTCATCTATTTATGAAGTTACACAGGCTAATTTCATAAAATCATTTTCTAAAAGTTAAAACTTTCTAACTATTGATGCAATATATTATTATTTTTCCATACAACCCTTTCACAGTTAGGCAAATGCTCTCTTAATGCCATGATGTTTACAGGTTGACAGCATTCTAACAATTTAGAAATGGAGGTGACCATGTAGTTTCTATAGCACAATCTTACATAGACAAAGAAATTGAGGTTCCTTGTCAAAGGAATTTCTTTTTTTTTTTTTTTTAACTTTACTTTAAGTCCTGGGATACATGTGCAGAACCTGCAGGTTTGTTACATAGGTATACATGTGCCATGGTGGTTTGCTGCACCCATCAACCTGTCATCTACATTAGGTATTTCTCCTAATGCTGTCCCTCATCTAGCCCCCACCCCCTGACAGGCCCCAGTGTGTGATGTTTCCCTTCCTTGTCCATGTGTTCTCATTGTTCGACTCCCACTTATGAGTGCGAACATGTGGTGTTTGGTTTTCTGTTCCTGTGTTAGTTTGCTGAGAATGATGGTTTCTAGCTTCATCCATGTCCCTGCAAAGGACATGAATTCATCCGTTTTTATGGCTGCATAGTATTCCATGGTGTATATGTGCCACATTGTCTTTATCCAGTCTACCATTGATCGGCATTTGGGTTGGTTCCAAGTCTTTGCTATTGAGAACAGTGCTGCAATAAACATACATGTGCATGTGTCTTTATAGTAGAAATATTTATAATCCTTTGGGTATATACCTTGCAATGGGATTGCTGGGTCAAATGGTATTTCTGTTTATAAGGGATGTGAAGGACCTTGTTAAGGAGAACTACAAACCACTGCTCAAGAAAATAAGAGAGGACATAATCAAATGGAAAAACAGTACACGCTCATGGATAGGAAGAATCAATATTGTGAAAATGGCCATACTGTCCAAAGTAATTTATAGATTCAATGCTATCCCCATGAAGCTACCATTGACTTTCTTCACAGAATTAGAAAAAAAAACTACTTTAAATTTCATATGGAACCAAAAAGAGCCCATATAGCCAAGACAATCCTAAGCAAAAAGAACAAAACTGGAGGCATCACGTGACCTGACTTCAAACTATACTACAAGGCTACAGTAAACAAAACAGCATGGTACTGGTACCAAAACA